>NC_000015.10:85380672-85532187 GCF_000001405.40 Homo sapiens
CATTGCTCGCCTCGGTCGCCGCCGCTTTAGCCGCCTCCGGGGGAGCGGCCGCCTATTGTCTTTCTCCGCGGCGAAGGTGAAGAGTTGTCCCAGCTCGGCCCGCGGGGGAGCCCCGGGAGCCGCACGGTGAGAGCGCAACTTAGTTGGCGGAGTTGGGGGAAGTTTTGTGATTTGTGGGTCGGGGCGCGGAGCGCGGCCAGTCCCCTGCGGTTGCTCGGTGGGGCGGGCCCCGGAGGAGGGGCGGGGGCTGCGGGGGTTTCGGGGGCGGGCTGGACAGACGGGTCGCCGGGCGGCGCCGGGACCTCAGGTCTGCGGACCCCTCCTCCCTGCGCATCGCCCTTCTCCCGCATTGTCTGCTTGGGGCTCGGCGCGCCTCCCACTCCGCAGCCCAACTTAGAGGCCGTCGCCGCTTTCCGGGTGGGGGGCGCGCCCGGCCGCCGATGCTACCTCAGGCGCTCCGCCCCCAGCGAGGCCCCGAATCCTTGCCCCGGGTCCCCGGGTCGGCGCCGCCGGGGCGGGCTCACTCCTCCCCTGGGGCGGGCGGCCGCGGTGTGGAGTCCCCGCCGTGGAGTCCGCGCCGTGAACAAGTGCTGCGGGCGCGAGGGAGCGGCTCCCCGGGGTCGACGCGGACGGTAAACACGTCGGGCCGCGCCTGCCTGTCGGTGCCTCTCCGCGGCTTCTCGGGGGTGCGGCCCAGCTGACCCGCGCGGGTCGCAGGCGAGCGGCCCAGGAGACCCGTGCGGTCCCCACGCGCTCTGGGACCCGTGCAGCCAGCCGGCTCAGCTTGCAGCTATACTTTGATACCAAACAAAACTTTTTTTTTTTTTTTTGGTAAATACGGTTTACTGCTTTTTTTTTTTTTTTTTTTTTGCAAAGCCACGAAGTATGTGAAGTTGAAAAAAGGAAAAACCCTAAAACTTTTTAAAAAAAAATCAAGAAAGGGGGTAGATAGGTTTGTTTTGTTTTGGAAATAGTTCTTATAGCAGAGTGATACCGTCCCATTTAATTTTCTAGATCCCGGAATTCACAATGAAAATTGGATTGAGCGGTATTTTGGTGTTCATTCTTTGCTAATGACACTCCTTAATGAAGTTATTTGGAGAGTTTATTGCTTCAGTACAGTAAAAACCAGTGTGCCTTTTTTTTTGTTAGTAGTCCCCCCCACAACAAGTGTTTTATTTTTAGAAGAAGCATTTTCTTCAGTTTTTCTGAACTGTTGGATTGCGCAGATGAGGACAAACGGTGCAGTTCTTGAAAGGTCATTATTGGCAAGTTTGTGAAGAAGCTAAGATCAGTTGAGATAAATCATTGTTACTATTCTTGTATTCTGTCGTGGACTCTTGGGGATTTGCAGGCTGCATTAAGTACAAGTTTTGTCAAGTTTGGGTGCACATATTACACTTAATTTGGTTTGTGTGGCTTATTATATGAACATGATTCTGTTTCAGTTCCCCAGATGGAACTAGCTTAAATGTCTGTCATTCATAGTGGAGCAAAATGGCCAGAGTGTCATTTATTGTTAACTTCAGTTGTATTCCTTTACCATCTGCTAAATGAAAAAGAAAAATTTGAGAAATACTGTGTGTGTCAGTTTGCTCAGAGTGATTTCTCGTGCTAAGTGAGTCCTGTGGAGAAGCGTTCCTGGGCTTTTCTGGTTTGGTGGGCCTTGTGTTATAAAACCAATTTTCTTCACCTGATGAAGCTAAAGACAAATTTTCTTCAGGTACAGCCATTGCACTTTTAAATTACAGAGCCGCTTTTAGGATTCACAGTACTCGCTCCATGGCTTCCCTTCCTGGTTGTGTGGTTTTGTGTGTGTGATTGTGGGGAAGGAGGTTGACAGAGGTTGGAAGGGATTGTCAGGGAGGGACATAATGTAAGCAAGTACTACTTACAACATGACGTGACGAGTGCACTAGTTGCTTTCCTTCTCTGGGCGGTGATGGCATGTTATACTGTAGGTACTATTGTTTTAGGATTTCTCACACTTCTTTTGCCTTGACTAAATGGTAACTGCACACATACTATACTATAAATGGACTCCTCCTCTAGTCCTTTAACTCCTTGAGGGCTGTGATAGACCTTATTTAGCTTTTTACCCTCTTTGCCGGTAGTCTTAACATAGTGCAGGCACGGTACGTGTTTGAATTGGGTAAATTATTTTTACTGCCTAGTGGTAGCTAGCGTACACAGGAGAGAGCCACTAACTGGGGACCTGTCCAGAATGACAGTTCACTTGCAGATCTGTGATGACATTTACTTTAAAAGGATTTCTAACCTTTTTTTAATCTGTCAATTATTTTTTGAAAAGAAGTGGGTTTAACTAGCGCTCTAAGGATTTCAACAAGAGGTTCCAATTTAGAAATCAGCCCCCCCCTTTTTGTGAAATTATTATTGTTTTTTTTTAGAGTCGGAATCTTCACTGTTGCCCAGTTGTCTCTAACTCCTGGACCCAAGCCATCCTCCCACCTCAGCCTCCCACAGTGTTGGAATTACAGACGTGAGCCACTCCACCCAGCCAGTGAAATTATTAAAATTGTTGGACAAATCTAGTCACAACTCTCCCTCCATTGTGAAATTGGAAAAAAATTAGAAATTTTAGAAAAAAGTACACCCTTTGGAACTAGGTAGCGTTCAGATCTCCACACTTCCATTGACTAGTTGCATAGCCTCTCAGAGCTTCAGTTTCCTACTCCATAAGCGTTAGTAACAGTGTTCTTAGGAATCAGTGAAACTATGTGAGGTACTTAACTACAGTATCTAACATGGAGTAGGCAGCTATTACCTAGTAGCTGTAATGATAATAATTTTGGTACATTTTTACATGACTTAAGCATTCTTAAAAGTCTGATGCTTCTGAGTGTAGAGGTTTAGCTATTTCTTTCATAAAGAAGGGGCCTTGAGACTTGTGAGTCTTATCGAAGTCTATTTCTTCAAAGGTGCCAGATGAACTGAAGGATAATGGAAACAATAGCGAGTTTATCTTCTCAGTCACCTGTGAGTCTTCCTTTGAGAGTGGGACTTGCAGAGTGGCTTGGTAGGGTAGAGCTCTTTGTGACTATGCTATTTGGGCAACAGTGAGAGATGGATTGTTTTCAGTACATCAGTCATAAGAGGATATGAGTTCCAACTTTATTTTACCTTAGTCTTGGCAAATAAGTGTGGATTGTGTCTGTATTTCTCAAACTTGTTTAAGGTAGAGCTGGACTGGGTGTTAACAGTGTTAGTTCAGTACAGAGACATGAGCAAATCACTCACTTCCTCTTCAAGATAACACTTTAAAGGTGACACCATTTACAGAAGAAGGCAGTGATTTAAATCAGTTATACTAGCATAGTTTAGAATACTTACACTACCTAGATGGAGTAGATACATTCTAGAAATATTTACCTGTTAAGGACATTTCTTTAGATTTTATTCCATCTTTCCATTAGTTTTCTGATGAAGAGATTATAGTAAACCTTTAAAAATTATATTTGATCAAACTTACAGATTGAGGATAAACCTTTAAAAATTACAGTTGGTCACACTTACAGATTGAGGGTAAAAACATTCCTGACAAAGCTAGGCGAAGAAAGTTGGACTTTTGATGTTCCCTTCTTTTAAAGTTAACATCTGGCACTTGAATAGACTTGGTTATTACTGATGGGGACAGGCATCCATTTGGAAGTAGCTTCCCTCTCTCTTTCCCAGGTTAGGCTGTCTTACTGCTGTAAATGGGGAGAGACGAGAAAGCTGTGGGTGGAAGAAAGTTTGTTTCATAGCCTGGCGCAGTGGCTCACGCCTGTAATCCCAGCACTTTGGGAGGCTGAGGCGGGCGGATCACTTGAGGTCAGGAGTTCAAGACCAGCCTGGCCAACATGGTGAAACCACATCTCTACTAAAAATACAAAAACTAGCCCGGCAGGGTGGCAGGTGCCTGTAATCCCAGCTACTTGGGAGGCTGAGGCAGGAGAATCGCTTGAACCCGGGAGGTGGAGGTTGCAATGAGCCGAGATCATGCCACTGTGCTCCAGTCTGGGCGACAGAGCGAGACTCCGTCTGAAAAAAAAAAAAAAAAAGGTTTGTTTCATGCATCTGTCCTCACTGGTCAGTGGAAGAAAGTTTGTTTCCTGCGTTTGTCCTCATATTTATAGTTTTCTCGTCCACCTACAAGTTGATTGTGACGTTATGAATAGAAGATGAATGGATAATGTGTTTTTGTCAGACCTTGCTGTAAGGATGGACCTGGTACTGAAATACCGTGATTGTATGAACATTTGTGTGGGGCAATGCTGTGTTCAGTGCCTGGGGAATGTGGATATCAGTGTGTTTGTATGATATGGGTGCTAGTATGGGAGAGAAGGAAAACGTGTGAGGTTTTTGACCATTTATGTCACTCTGTAAGCTCTTCTCTGGCTACTTTGGTGCTATAGTAGCAGAGTTGAGTAGTTACAACAGAGACCATGTGATCTGCAAAGCAGAAAATATTTACTATCTGGGCTTTTACAGAAGTTTGCTGACCCTTTTTCTACATAACCAACTGCAGTTATTCACAACAAGAAAGATTAACGTTAATTCTATAATATTATTCAATACCTATTCAACTTTCTCTATTTGTCTCCCAAATATCTTTTATAGTTGATTAAGAAAAATTTTGGACAGAGTAAAATTAAAGTTCACTCAGCACATCATTATGTCTCTTTAGTCTCTATTTTTTCATTCTTTAATTATTCATATGTATAGTTTACATTCACTAAAATTCCGCCATTTTAGTGTAACATTCTCTGAGTTTTGACAGGTGTATACATTCATATATCCACTGCTGCAAACAGGACAGTCCCTTCATCCTCCAGAATTCTTCTGAGCCCTTTTGTACTCAACCGGTTCTCTACCCCCAGACTCTGGAAATTGCTGATCTGTTTTCTGTCTCCATGGTTTTTTGCCTTTTCAAGAATGTTGTAAAAATGGAATCACACGGAATGTAGCCTTTTTATTCATTTGCCCAATGACTAATGATATTAAGTATCTTTTCATCTGATTATTTGTCATTCTTTGATGTCAATTCAAAATCTTTTGCTTAAAAAATGAGTTTTTGTATATACTTTGGAATCAAATACATGATTTGCAGATATTTTCTCCTAGTCTGTTTTTACTTGTCTTAATAATGTCTTTTTTTGTTTGTTTGTTTCGAGATGGAGTTTGGCTCTGTCACCTAGGCTGGAGTACAGTGGTGAGATCTTGGCTCACTGCAACGTCTGCCTCCTGGGTTCAAGTGATTCTCCTGCCTTAACCTCCCGAGTAGCTGGGATTACAGGCACACACCACCACACCCAGCTAATTTTTGTATTTTAGTAGAGATGGGGCTTTTCCATGTTGGCCAGGCTGATCTTGAACTCCTAACCTCAAGTGATCTGCCTGCCTCGGCCTCCCAAAGTGCTGGGATTACAGGCGCGAGCCACTGTGTCTGGCCTTCTTGTCTTAATAATGTCTTTTGAAGAGCAGAAGTTCTTAATTTTTATGATATCCAGTGTTTTTTTGTTTTTTTGTTTTTTCCCTGAGTGGATCATGCTTTTGGTATAATAGTTTAGAAATCTTTGCCTAACTTAAGAGCTCAAAGACTTTCCCCTATATTTCCTCCTACAAGTTATTATTTTTTTTTTTAGAGATGGAGTCTCACTCTGTCATCCAGGCTGGCGTGAGTGAGATCTTGTTCACTGGAATCTCCGCCTCCCGGGTTCAAGTGATTCTCCTGCCTCAGCCTCCTGAGTAGCTGGGATTACAGGCACCCACCACCATGCCTAATTTTTGTATTTTTACTAGTGATGGGGTTTCACCATGTTGACCAGGGTGGTCTGAACTCCTGACCTCAAGTGAGCCACCCACCGCAGCCTCCCAAAGTGCTGGGATTACAGGCGTGAGCTATTGTGCCCGGCTCGCCTAGAAGTTTTATCATTTAAAATTTTATATTTACATTTATTATCTGCTTTGATTTAATTTTCCTAAATGGTGCAAGGTATGCATTGAGTTTATTTTTTTGTGGATGGATTTACAATTTTTCCAGCAACAGTTTTTGAAAAGACTGTCCTTTCTCTGTTGATTACCTTTGTGCCTTTTTTTTTTTGCAAGTTGATCATAAATGTGTGGTTTTGTTTCTGGATTCTCTCTCCTATTCCATTGATCTGTGTCTTTCATTTCTCTATCACCTCACTGTTGATTACTGTCACCTTAGAGTAAGTTTTAAAATCAGGTAGTGTGAGTTATCTTATTATTTTTCAGAATTGTTTTTTGGGTATTTTAGTTGCATTGCCTTTTGTGCATATTTTAGATTCATCTTGCTGTTATCCACAAGTCCTGCTGGGTTTTTCTTTTTCTTTTTTTTCTTTTTTAAGATGAGGTCTCAGCCGGGTGTGGTGGCTCACGCCTGTAATCCTAGCACTTTGGAGGCTGAGGCGGGTGGATCACCTGAGATCAGGAGTTCGAGACCAGCCTGGCTGACATGGCAAAACCCCGTCTCTACTAAAAAATACAAAAAATAGCTGGGCGTGGTGGTGGGCGCCTGTAATCCCAGCTACTTGGGAGGCTGAGACAGGAGAATTGCTTTAGCCCGGGAGATGGAGGTTACAGTGAGCCGACATTGCGCCACTTTACTCCAGCCTGGGTGATAGAACGAGAGTCCGTCTTAAAAAAACAAAAAAAGATAGGGTCTCACTCAGTTGTCCAGTGTGGAATGCAGTGGTAGGATAACCACTCACTGCAGCCTTGATCTCCTGGGCCCAAGCGATTCTCCCACGTCAGCCTCCCAAGTAGTTGGGATCACAGTCATGCACTACCTGGCTAATTTTTTTATTTTTGTAGAGACAGAGTCTCTCTATGTTGCCCAGGCTGGCCTCAAACTCCCGGGATGAAGTGATCCTCCCACTGTGGCCTCCCAAAGTGTAGGGATTACAGGCATGACCCACCATGCCCAGCCTGCTGTGGTTTTTGATTGGCATTGTGTTGAAGCTGGAAATCAGTTAGGGGGCAATTGACATTTTAATAATGAGCCATGAACATGGTATATCTATTTAGACCTTAGATTTTTGATTAGTGTTTTGTAGTTTTTAGCAATTGGATCTTGCATGTGTTTTGTAATCTTATACATGTATTTCATGTATTCTGGTGTTGTTGTGAATGATACTTCTCAATTTCCAGTTGCTCATTGCTGGTATATAGAAAGATCATTTTATATTATTTGCTGACCTTGGATCCTACACCCTTGCTAAACTCATTTTTAGTAATAGAAGCTTTTTTTGTAGATTTTTGGAATTTTCTGCATAGACATTATTGTCATTGGCAAATAAGGGCAGTTTGATTTCTTCGTTTTCACTTTGTATACTTTCATTTCCTTTTTTTTTTTTTGAGATAGAGACTCGCTCTGTCACCCAGGCTGGAGTGCAGTGGTGCGATCTCAGCTCACTGCAACCTGTGGCCCCCCAGGTTCAAGTGATTCTCGTGCCTCAGCCTCCTAAGTAGCTGGGATTACAGGTGCATGTTGTCATGCCCGGCTAATTTTTGTATTTTTTTTTTTTTAAGTGGAGACTGGGTTTCACCATGTTGGCCAGGCTGGTCTCAAACTCCTGACCACAAGTGATCCGCCAGCCTCAGCCTCCCAAAGTGCTAGGATTACAGGCGTGAGCTACAGCGCTGGGCGTGATTTCTTTTTGTTACTTTGCTGAACTATCTAGGACCCTCAGTGTAATGTGTAATAGGAGTTTTACAAGTGGACATCCTTTCCTTTTTCCTGATGTTAGAGGGGAAAACACTGAGTGTTTGACCATTAATATGATGGTAGCCATAGGTGTTTGTTTTTGTAGATGTCTTTTATCAAGTTGAGGAAATTGTCTTCTATGTTTAGTTTGCTGAGAGTTTTTATCATGAATAGATATTGAATGTTGTCAAAGGTTTTTCTGTATTTATTGACATAATCATATGTTTTTTCTTCTTTAGTCTGGTGTAATACGTTGAAATAGCTTTGCATTCTTGTGATAATACTCATTTAGTCGTGATGTATTATTTTTTACATGTCTTTGGGTTCCATTTGCTACTGAATCTTTTTTTATTTCTTCCATTTGTTTCCCGTTATGTTCATTTTAAAAATAGGTTCTTGATCATATGTATAATATTCATGATAGTTGTTGAGTCCTTATCTGTTAAATGTCAGATGTCTCCTTGGGGGTAAAGTTATTTCAAACACAAGAACCATTGCTTTAAAGAGTATCATACTTTGTTTTGGCAAGTTAAGTTGCCAAACTTATGTGTGTAAGTTGCTTGTTACACCCCATTACTAAGGCATGAAGCTCCTGTAGTTTTCATTGAAGAATTGGGCTCTCCTTGAGGACTCTATTCTGGCAGTTGAGAACACAAATGTCTCCCAGCCCTGTGTGAACTTTGGAGATCATTTAGCTTACAGTTCCTGGGTGATTCTTTGCGTGCCCTCATGTATTTTTACAATATGCATGCTTGGCTTACTACTGGGTGTGAGACTCATGGGGCCTCTATGCTGATTTCTGGAGCTCCTTTTTCATACAGCTCCCTCCTCTTCTCTCGTACTCTGCAATTTTCAAACTCCTTAGCCTTCCCAAGCTATGTTTGTTTTCTAAACTTGACAAGGCTGTCATGTTGTGCTTGATCCTCCTCATTGCACCATGGTCTAGAAGGTACCTCCAGCCAGAAAGCTGGGGCGATTTTAGGGCTTATCTCATTTGTTCCCTTCTCTTTGGGACTGCAGTTCTGTGCTACCTGTTGTTCAGGCTCTAAAGGATGCTGCCTCATGCATTTTGTCCACTTTTCTAGTAGTTAGGGAGGATGCCAGGATAAATCTGGATCCAGTTACTCCGTCATGGTTAGCAGCTGAAGTCCTTTGGGTGAGTATGCTTTGTTGGTGGTTCTTAAAATTTCATTACAGGATTCTCAAAATCTTTGGGGGTATAAATAACAAAGAAGTATTTGTTGACTATCTTCTGACAGTAGCTCAGCCATTGCTTTGTGGGAAATACAAAACAATGTAGGTATCTTTTAGTTGAAGAGGCACATGGTACATACCTAAGATTAATCAAAGAAATGAATTGCTATGGTGATGAACAGAAAGAGAAGGATCACTATAATCTATTATTTTCTGTCCCCCCGTGGGGGAGTCTTCCAGTGAAAAGCAGAAAACCTGCTAGACAGATTCTAAAAGATCTGTAACACTTGTGATCTGGTGTTTTCATGTAGAAATGCTTGCTTTTGCGTTTTTGTTTCTTAGCATATATGCTTTATGTCGCAAGTTGTAGTGAGTCAGTGGGTAGAGTGCTGGCTCTTTCAGGTGCATTTGCTATTTATTTACTATGCAGCTTTAGGTAAGTTATTTGTCTCTGAAATCTAATCTTCTCTTTTCTCTTGGCAAATGGTTATATGACATACCTTGTAGGGTTGTTTGTTAATTTTTTCAAGTATCTTTTGTTTGTCAGGCACGGTTCTAGGTAATGGGAATTCAGTGACATCTGTAGTTGCTGCCGTTAATCTATATCCTATTGAGGGAAGTAGAAAATAAACGAGTGAACAAACAATTGCAGTCATGTCTGGTGGTGATGATTCTAGGAAGGATATGAAGAGTATTAGCAGAGATTGGGGAGGTCAGACAAGGCCTTACTGAGGAGGTGAGATTTGAACAGACCTGAAGAAAGTCAAGGGAGCAAGTCACATGAAGATTCAGAGGAAGTATGGAAGGAACATCAAGTGCAAAGGACCTGAGATGGGAGAATGAACAGGGAGCCTGGTGTGGCTGGAATGGGTGAGAAAGAGCGTGAGGAGATAAGGTTTGTATGTGTAGCCAGAGACCAGATCAAATAGGCTCTTAGGTATGGTGGGAAACAGCTGAAGGATTTGAGCAAGGCATGACAAGGTTGATTTAGGCTTTAAAAACTTTACTCTTGGCATAGGGAGCAGTAGTGGAAACGGAGAGACTAGTTAAGAGATTTGCAGTCGTTCAGGCTAGAGAAGATGGTGGCTTGGATTAGGGTGGTAGCAGCGAAAGTGGTGAGAAGCGGTTTGAATCCATATACGCTGAAAATAGAACTATAGGATTACTTACAGATTGGAAAAAGGTTCTAAAGGAAAGAAAGAAATTAAGGAGGATTCCTAGGTGTTTTACCTGAACAACTGGGTAAATGGGGAAGATGTGGAATCAGTTTGCTGAGAGGTTGAAATTGTGATTTCCCTGTTGACATGCTAAGTTTGAGATCTGTGAAATTTTTAAGTGAAGGTATCAGTAAGCATTTGGATATACAGTTCTGGAGTTCAGTGATGGTCTGGACTGGGTGTATGAATTAGAGAATTGTAGATAGAGAAGGGAGAGTGGGAGGTTTTAGTGGGAATTAGGGATATATAAAGCTCCATAATAGGGGCTCATGGCATAGTAGTTAATAATCATGACAGTCATAAAACAACCACCACTATGTATAGTAACTAAAGGAAGGCTAGATATGAATGAAGGAAGATGGTAGTGACCTAAAACAATTATCTTGCATATTATATCAGAATTAGTTAGGATTCTAAACATGCTGAAAACTTTTCTTCTCTAAGCATGATAAAAATATTAGTGAACTCTATTTTCCATTTGTAGTCTGTAAGGATATTGGTGATAGTGGAAAGATAATGACGTTTTTATGTGATGCTAGTGTATTATTTGAATGTACTTCACATACACATATACGAAGATAGTCTGGAAGGAGGCTACTGCAAAGTAGATGAGGGTAACTTTTGATCTTTTGATTTTCTGCAGAGTGTATATTTGTCTTTATTCTTTTCTTTTCTTTTTTTTTTTTTTTTAAGACAGGGTCTCACTCCTTTGACCAGGCTGGAGTGCAGTGGCGCGATCTCGGCTCACTGCAACCTCTCCCTTCTGGGCTCAAGTGAGTCTCCCACCTTAGCCTCCCCAGCAGCTGGGACCACCGGTGTGCACCACCACGTCCAGCTAATTTTTGTACTTTTTGTAGAGGTGGTGTTTTGCCAGGTTGTCCAGGCTGTTCCTGAACTCTTAGACTCAAGCGATCCACCCACCTTGGCCTCCCAAAGTGCTGGGATCATAGGTGTGAGCTATTGCACCTGGCCTCCTTATTCTTTTTTTTTGAGACAGAGTCTTGCTTTGTCACCCAGGCTGGAGTGCAGCGGTGCGATCTCGGCTCACTGCAACCTCCGTCTCCCAGGTTCAAGCAATTCTCCTGCCTCAGCCTCCCGAGTAGCTGGGACTGTAGGCATGTGCCACCATACCTGGCTAATTTTTGTATTTTTAGTAGAGATGAGGTTTCACCATGTTGGCCAGGCTGTTCTTGAACTCCTGACCTCGTGATCCACCCACCTCCGCTTCCCAAAGTGCTGGGATTACAGGCGTGAGTCACCATGCCCGGCTCTATTCTTATTCTTAATAAAAGGAGTTAATAATATTTTTTGAGGTTGGGCTCAGTTGGTGAGTTTCTAGGGTAGTGGGTTTCATTTGTTTGTGGTTGCTGATATTACTTATTCCATTTTTTTTTTTACTATGTATAGTCTATTGTCTTAAAAATGTGAGCCCTTAATAATTTTTTTTTTTTTTTTTTTTTGAGATGGAGTCTCGCTCTGTCGCCAAGGCTGGAGTGCAGTGGCGCTATCTCGGCTCACTGCAACCTCTGCCTCCCAGGTTCAAGTGATTCTCCTGCCTCAGCCTCCTGAGTAGCTGGGACTACAGGCGTGCACCACCACGCCCGGCTAATTTTTGTATTTTTAGTAGAGACAGGGTTTCACCATGTTGGCCAGTATGGTCTTGATCTCCTGACCTTGCGATCCACCCGCCTTGGCCTCCCAAAGTGCTGGGATTACAGAATAATCTTAATCGTAAATGGGAATCAGTTAAGAGTATTTTCTTTCTTTTTTTTGTTAAGAAATGAGGTTTTGCCGTGTTGCCTAGGCTGGACTTGAACTCTTGGGTTTAAGTGGTCCTCCCACTCCAGCCTTCCTAGTTGCTGTGACTATAGGCACACGCCACTGCACCTGGCTCTGGGTGGTTTTGAAATGAGTCCATAACAGTTCCTGGAAAAATTGTTAGCACATACTCTTCCCACCAGGCTAATCGTGGCACCATTTTGTTGAAAGGGTACTTTATGTTGCACTGTGGTGGGCAGATCTCTTCAGAATAATTGAACTGAGCATGAAGTTGTTTTGTTTTAAAATCTGAATTACACCATCAGCATTAACTTAGATTTTTAGAAGTATCCTTTTTCCCAGGTGATAGCTGTCCTAAAGGTGGTGGATATGACAGGGGCTTTTGACAAATTTGGCATTTTCAGTAATTCATGAATCACTTCTAAAAACATACTCAGTGATTTGGGTGGTATCTGTAAATTAATCTATCATCCTTGTCTTGGCATTTGAGTTCTGCCTTGTCTAAGTGGGTGTGTTTCTGGAGTGGGAGAAGGGAGGTCCGTTGTGACATTGCATGGAAATAATTTCTTTTACCTTTAACAAGCTGGAAGAAAATGGTTTTTGGATGCTTTGTACACAGAGTGTACATCCTCTTGGATGCTTTGTACACAGAGCGGCTGGGCTCAGAATAGAAAGGAACTATAGATGAGACTTTGCAGTTTGGGAGTTATTTGGGGAAAAAATACGGTAACAAGAGTTGGGAAGTAGAGTTCTAAGTGTTCATTTGATCACATGAAGCCTTGGGGGCTGGCTGAGGTGCTTCCTCTCTTCAGGGATTAAAGGCATGCATGGGTCAGTGGGCAGTAATAGCCAAAGCTTTTGCTTGGGCATTCCTGCCAAAATAGTGCTGTGTGTATGTTTAGAGCATAGAATAGTGTGTATGTCCAGTCTAGAGAGGTTTTTTGAGGTCATTTTCTATAAGGTGTTTTTGAAAAAGTAAAGTTACTATAAAGGGAAGAAGAAACTTTTGTGTGTTTACCTACGTGTTATGTTATCTACATTCTCTTAATTCCTTACAGTAATCCTATAAGACAGATATTATTCTTTCTCCCTTTTTTGATGAAAAAACTAGGGTTTAGAGATTTAAGTTTGCTTCTCTCAAGTCAATGAACTACAATTTTGATCTGGGACATTGTGACTACAAACATAACTCTAGTTTTATTATATATGCCATAAGTCACATTTTTTTCACTTTGATGTAATTATATCCAAAGTAGCTAGTTTAAAATTCCATCTTGTTCTTGGTGTAAATAGAAAATCATTGATTGTGGTCTGCTCTTAAAGTTTTCCTAGAATTCTTAAAAACATGCTAGGCTTCCATGTTTGTGCCTTGAAAGTAGCAGAAACTTGCCAATAGAATTGTGGAACTGTATTTTCCTTCACATACAGAAGCTTTGTGGATGGACATTAATAATTAACATTTACACATTTGTTCACATCTTCAAAGTGTTTTACAAACATTTAATTAGTTCATGTGTAAACTATATAGGAAGTTGAAAAACCAGTTTTTTAGGTTCATTTTAGTAGTACTGAAGTGTTAGGGGGAGAAGGAGTAAGCAAGCCCTCAGTAAGAAAAATACAGGTATGCACCATGAAGTTCTAAACATCTTTTCTTACCTGCCTAGCTTTCAGCCCAGTTTGGCTCATATCAAACATGTTTTTTGGGTGTATATCTTCTCTGTAATACAGGGGAGTGGATTATGTGGACCCAACAGAAGACAGGGTGGAATGGTTGGGGAAAGACCTGGGTCATGTAATGCAACTTTCTCTTCCGTAGTCCCTTAAATGTGAATTGTCCTTGATTCATCCCTTTGAGCATTTTGAAGGCCAGGATGTTGTTGGAGCAGAGACTCTGGCAAATGAATGGAGCATGCATGTTAATTTCTAGGGAAAAAATCTTTTATTTTTCACTCTTGATTTAGGAAATAATAGCTCTATAACTAGATACTTTGCTAGTTTCCTCACAACTGCTTGTCACCTGATTCCATCTCCTCTCCTCCCACCCCCTGGTAAAATGGCTTTAACTTGGCAAGGTTTGTAGTTGGAAGGAGACAGTAGTCCCAATTTAGCTGGGTTCTGTCACATAATTGACTGTGTGACCTTGAGCAGGTAGGTTACTGCTCTTTTGCCTTTGAGTTCTTTTGTTCTGTGAAATGGTATTTGCTGACTCACCTTTCACTGAGTCCTAGAAGGATGGCCAGAGAAAGATATAAAACTTAGACTCTTGGACATGAAATGGGACAGAGGTTATTTTCACATTAGTGAGGATTCTTCAGAGTTGCAACGACTCCTTTCTACTTTGCTTGGAGTAACTAATTTTCTTACTATTCTTGTCAACCTCATTACTATAAACACTTTTTCTAATACAGTACAGTAAATAGAATTATTTGATAAATAGTGTGTCTGGGTAATTTCCTAAGACAGGACATGCAAGTTCCTTTTAATCAGTGCTTATAGCCCATTGTTCAGAGGAACCGTTCATTGTTCAGAAGAATCTTTGTGTAGATAACCTTGCCAGAGAAACCTTACTTAGTATGTGATCTCAGAAAGGAGAAGAATTCTGATAGCTTGGCATGTATATTTAATTAAATTTTTATAATGAATGAGAATCTGTTCTTTTAATGGGGCTGTATAAGAATGGCCCTGAACTTTTGCCTCTATCCAATAGTGTTGTTTTTCAAGTCTTTCTTTTTTTCTCCATCCCTTTCCTTCTCTTCTTGAAATCTGAAAATTTAAAGGTGGGATGAGTTGGCTGTGGCTGTTGAACCTCTTTGTAACATGAAATACACCCAGGTTTAAACTTATCTTTCTGTTCTGCCAAGATTTATGGTAACTTGGAAGGAATATTTTACAGCCGGACATTGAGTAATACTATATATGAATTATGAATAATTGAGATTGGCTTAGTTAAGCGGTTAAAGTTACTCTTTTATTTGAAAGGATATCTGAAGGCAGTGTTTATTTATCTTTTTGAAAAGGGAGACTTTTCGATAGGACAGATTGTATGTATAAGACAAGATAGAAGTTTTCTTTTGGAAACCTAGCTGGTTTCCAAACAATCCAATAAATGATTGTTTTTCCTATTTAGATTAGGGATTTGAGTTGTACTGTTTTTGGTTACCTCTTTGATTTTTCCGTATTGTCTTTGCCCAGTGTTCATTTCCTTTCCCCGGTTAATCTAGTAGGATGTACTGTCAGATTGCCCACTGAATAGATGGGGTAATGTAATATCACATGTCTATCTTTCCTCCCAGATTATAAACTTCTTGAGGGCAAATTTTATCTGCTTTGTTTATTGCTGTATCCCCAGCAACAATGGCACATAATAGTTGCTTCTCAAGAAATATATGGGTTGATGGAAGGATGAATGAATTTTTGACTATACATACATACACACACACACACACACACACATACATATGCACACATAACATACATGTATATATTAAACTTAATAAAATCTATCCTGTTGCGAATAAATGAACAGATGTTTATTTTTTCTTTTCTAGCATCAGTTTTAGTTTGATTTTGGTCAGTTTAAAGCATTCCTTTTGGGGAAAGAGAAGACATCATGTTAAATGGAAGTTTGGTATTGACCAAGTTTGGTGGTAAAATCTATACAGCTCTTGCCTGATGGTTGTGCTTGGTCCACGTAGGGCTCTGTCACTTTCCGTTTTAACCTCTTCAGCAACTTCATCATTGGCATATGGATGGTTGACCTAAGAATGTGGTGCGTGATGGCTGGCTTAATTAAAAAACAAAATTATGATTGTAAAACATGTTCACAGTAGAACGGTAGAATTGACTCATATACTCATTACCCAGATTCTAGCAAGATTTTGCTATTCTCTACATGCATTATTTTAAAAAAAGCTTTGTTTTGATATAATTCATATACCATAAAATTCACCCATGCTTTACTATAATATGTTTGTCCTAGTTGTCCTGAAAGTCACTACGAACTATTCTTTTTAGTGATTTTTAAATGGTATTTTTACTCCAATGTATAATACTGTAAACCATGAAATGCCTCTGTAAAACAAGGCACGATAGGTTTCCAGGATATGAAACAGACAACTTTAACTCAAAGCAAATGAGTGCTGAGTAGCCTGTTTTCCTTTCAGCAGAGTAATTGCAGAAATAGGACTGCAAACCTTTTATTAAGCACTTTTATATGAAATTTGAGGTTTCTGTCAAATTAGACATGGAAAATTAAAGCTGCACAAATTACTGATCTGTGCAGTTTTTTTGAGTCCTCTCGTATGTTAGACTTTTTTTTTTTTTTTTTTTTTAAGATAACTGTTTCTCTTAAGTACCAGCACAGGAATGCTATGATTTATACATAATTATTTTTGTTTTCACGTCAGTAGTCTTTTGTTCCCCCCATTGAATTTGGTGATTCCCCCCCGCCCCCCGAGGATTATTTTTTAAATAATGCATTCCCAAGTATTTTGACTTTTGTGAAAGAAAATACTTTTTAAGGTAATTGAATACCTCCATAAATCTTGTATTTCCTTAATAATTTATTTGGCAATGTATTTAAAAACAGTGTTGATATCTTAAAAGCTTTCATTTGAAGGCCCAAAAACAACTGATACATTGTTTTTCATAGCACTTTTTGTAAATATTATGTCCTAAGTGCATAGATTCTTTGAAATACTCCTCTTTCACCCCCTCTGTGGTAAAGAATTATTTTGGCTGCTTTGCCAAAAGTGCTTGTGGCAGTCTAAAGATGATCACTTTATTAGTTAGCTCACTGGGATATGTGCCCATAAATGGAGAGTTTTCTTTCCCGAGCTCAAATAAAGGTAATGGTTCATCTGTGAGATACCTCGGGACTCAAATACTAATTCAGAAGAAAAATTATATTTATTCTCTCCCCTCAGCCTTGATGCATGTTGAAATCTGCGGGGACAAGTTCACTAATATAATAGCTGTCACTTATTGGGAACCATTATTGATCTATTGGTAGCTATTCATCTAAGTGTCTTATATAGGTCAGGTCTTATCTCTGCAAGGAAGGTATTTTTATGATTTTACCAGAAAAGGAAATTGAAGCTCAGAGAAATTAATAGCTAATTTTATATATACTTCATTCAGCATTTTATTTAAGGCCTGTTGTATGTCAGGCACACTACTGGGCACCAGGGATTGAGGAATAAACAAAATAAGATGTAGTCACTGCCCTTAAAGCACTCATGATTTTGTTTCTTGATTGATAGGCAGTAACAATAATAGTGATAATTGCCATCATTTATTATTACTTTCCATTTGCCAAGTGTAGTAGTAAGTACTCTACAAACCCTTGTCTCATTTTAATCCTCATAATTCTAATCCTCACAAAATGTGGAAGTATCCATATTTTATGGATGAGGAGACAGAGGCCCAGAGAGGCTGGACTTGCTCAGGGTCACACAGTTAGTATGTGGCTGAGTTCATACTTGAACATGGATCTTACTCTAGAACTTATACTCTGCTCAGCATTCCTCATTCTGGCGAGAGTTGAAACGAGTAATGATGTGAAAGGGACATCATTGTGAGCTATTATTTTGGCAGAACTTTATGTAACTTTGACTTTGCCAGTAGATTTATTTTTATGGTTAATCTCTTATTCTAGGAGTCATCAGATCGTTTTCATGATTTATGAAAGACATTTTTAATAAGTCTTATTTTTATTACAACAGTAATGTACAGTTCCTCTAGAAATTTAGGAACTATAGTCCCCCAAAAGTACACATAAATGACACTACCTAGAGAAAATTGTTGGGTATAATTTTTCTTTCCAAACTTGAAAACTTGTAGAGAGAGAGTGTGTGTATGTACATATATACAGCCCATATGTGGACTAGCCATATGTGGCGTATTTTATGTACTCTTGAGCATAAACAGGTTATAAAACATTTCATCAATGTACCTTTATATGATTTCTTTTTTGTTGTTGTTGAGACAGAGTCTCACTCTGTCGCCCAGGCCAGAGTGCAGTGGCGCAATCTCTACTCAGTGCAACCTCTGCCTCCCAGGTTCAAGCAACTCTCCTGCCTCAGCCTCCCGAGTAGCTGGGATTACAGGCACATGCCACCACGCCCGGCTAATTTTTGGATTTTTAGTAGAGATGGGGTTTCACCATGTTGGCCAGGCTGGTCTTGAACTCCTGACCTCAAGTGATCCACGTGTTTCCGCCAGCCACCTTTATATGATTTCAAGTAACTGACATAGTTATTTTAATGGCTATATAGTATTTCCTTGTATGAACTTAAGTTTATCTTCAGTTCATTTCCTATTATTTGAATAGGTTGTGTATCTTTTTTCCCCATCACCCTTCCTCCTGCCTCTTTCCTCTATGCTATTATAAACATTGCTTTGAAGGACAGCCTTATACATACATCTGTGTGTCCTTGTTTACTTTGTTAGAGAAATGGAATTGTTAGGGCAAATGGTGTACATTTCAGCAGCTGTTCATAGATATTGTCAAGTTGTCTACAGAAAGCTTTTGTCATTTATACTTCTACTGGCAGAATATGACAGTTCCTATTTACTATTTCCCCATAACTTTTAGAAAACACGTTTTTAAAGTTTTAGATGCAGGCCGGGCGCGGTGGCTCACGCCTGTAATCCCAGCACTTTGGGAGGCCGAGGCGGGTGGATCATGAGGTCAGGAGATCGAGACCATCCTGGCTAACAAGGTGAAACCCCGTCTCTACTAAAAATACAAAAAATTAGCCGGGCGCGGTGGCGGGCGCCTGTAGTCCCAGCTACTCGGGAGGCTGAGGCAGGAGAATGGCGTGAACCCGGGAAGCGGAGCTTGCAGTGAGCCGAGATTGCGCCACTGCAGTCCGCAGTCCGGCCTGGGCGACAGAGCGAGACTCCGTCTCAAAAAAAAAAAAAAAAAAAATAAAAAAATAAAAAAATAAATAAATAAATAAATAAAGTTTTAGATGCCATAAGATAATTACTCATAGAATTACTGGATTACTGGCAACCAAAGAAAAAATGAAAGAACTCTGTATTTCTAAAAGGATATGAAGAAACTCACGAAGCATCGTTACTGTCCTCTTAGGTGCTAAACGTTAATCTGAGTTCTCAATATTAAAAGACAGATGGAGGAAACTTTCAAATAAAGTCACTGATATCATGTTCCTTTGGCTTGTTCTTAGTTGTCGGTTCAGATTAACTCCAGCAATAAAACAGGGAAGTATTTGAGATAAGATTTAGAGATGCTGAGGAGTAAGGTCCTCTTCTACACAAAGAGCCCTGTGAAAGATGATCTGTGGCCATTCTGTTGCTTATCTAAATGCATGTTAGAATTAATATAACTTATTTATTTATTTATTTCATTATTATTTTTTCTAGAGATGGTGTCTCGCTGTGTTGACCAGGCTGGTCTCCTCAAACTCTTGGCCTCAAGTGATCCTCCCACCTGGGCTTCCCAAAGTGCTGGGATTACAGGCATGAGCCACTGCGCCTGACTGTTAAAGCTTTTAGTTCTGGGCCAGGCTCAGTGGCTCACACTTATAATCTCAGCATTTTGAGAGGTTGAGGTGGGAGGATAGCTTGAAGTCAGGAGGCCAGGAGTTCAGGACCAGCCTGGGCAACATAGTGAGAGCCTGTCTCTACAAAATAAAAATTAAAAAATTAGCTGGGTGGTGATGCATGCCTATAGTTGTAGCTACCTGAGAGGCTGAGGCGGAAGGATCACTTGAGTCCATGAGTTAGAGGTTACAGTGAGCTATGATCACACTGCCTTTACTCCAGCCTGGGTGACAAAGCAAGATCCTGTCTCTAAAAAAAAAATTAAAAAACAAAATTTAGTTCTGAAAGTACAAATACGTATAATCCACATATGTTCCTCAAATCACAGTTACATATTGACATCATGGTTTAGATAATCAAGAAAACAAGCAAATTAAACATTGAAACTGTGTTCTTGACTTTAATGTAGGCAAACCTTTTTCTCTGAGCCAAAGATTAGTCAACTGGTCTCAGCTATAATAATGATTTTCAATCATAATATTTGTGAAGGTTTTCTGTATTATAAGTAGGAAGAACTAGTTGTATAGGAAGTTGTAAGTCAGGTAGCTGTGTAAGGTGATCTCTTGGCACTGTTGATACACCAGCTTGTCTCTGTTTTGTTGACCATTCTTAGGAGTATCTTGTTGATATTCAGCCTATTTCTGGTTACAGAGAAATAGCTGATTAATCATAATTTAGTAGCCATATATATATATATGTATATATATATATATATTTTTTTTTTTTAAACAGAGTATGTTGCTCAGGCTGGGGTGCAGTGGCACAATCTTGGCTTACTGCAACCTCCGCCTCCCGGATTCAAGCGATTCTCCTGCCTCAACCTCCCAAGTAGCTGGGATCACATGTGTGTGTCACCATGCCTGGCTTATTTTCATATTTTTATTGGAGATTGGGTTTTACCATGTTCGTCAAGCTGATCTCAAACTCCTGACCTCAGGTGATCCACCTGCCTTGGCCTCTCAAAGTGCTGGGATTATAGACACGAGCCACTGTGCCCGGCATATTATATCACTAGATGTAGAAATTTAATTTATGATGGTTCTATAATAAAGTCTTGGAACATGTAGATAGTTAATTCAGATGTGGGAGGGCTTCTGTGGTCTTGAAACCACCCAGTTTTTTATGTAGTATACCTGATTATTGAACTGTTAGTTTCGTTATGAAGTCTAGATGTTACTTGGTTTTGGTAAGGAACCCTATGTAGAATTTTGAGGACGTCTCCTCTGCCAACCTGAATTGATCAGAATTTTTATAGACCTCCCAAAGGACCTCTGTTTTGGAAATCTTTTGGGGCAAGGCCAGCTTTGATTTGTTTTCTCTGTTACAACAGCATTATTTGGGCTTAAATCTCAGAAGTGTGCCATTCTGCTTTTTTACTGTTTCCTCCCCCTGGTAACTTGAGCTATTATAAACTGTTTACCAAAGAAGCTAGTCATTTTTGTCTCAGTATTCTCTTAAACTGTCCCTTTGAGGTTGTAAAAAAGAGAGTAATAACAATTAGCAGGTCAACCAACAAATAGGACCTTGGTATCTCACATTTCAGAGGATTCTTCCTTAGGTCTCCCTACTTTCTTTCCTGTCTTAGGGATCTGGGATAAACAATTAGCTTGGTAAATCAGTGGTAGGAATTAAATGTTTCTGTGCAGTTTTTCTGGGACATAGGACAATAATAATGGGGAACAAAATAATAAGAGAATGAGTAACAAGACAGTAGTAATAAGAATGCCAGATTAAAAATAGGAAGATGGAAACTCACTGACTGGTAGAAATGTAAAGGATAAATTCTGATGTAAAACATTCTGTAGCTGAGAAAAACTTGTTAGTGAACAGACACTGGATTAGGATTCAATAAATTTGGTTTAGTTTGCTGCCAACAACCTTGGGCAAGTTGCTTAGCCCACTCCACCTCAATTCTCCCATCAAAAATGAAACGGTTAAACTGTATCAGGTTTTTGTTTGGTTCTTTGTTGTGTTTTCCCCAAAAAGTATCCTCAAGTCCTGGAGATCCTTGGAATTACATCAAGGGCCCAAGTGAGATTGGGGAGGGCATGAAAAAGAGAGCAAGTGGTGCTACACAGAGTAGTTCCACTTTCCTCTAGTTTATTTTTGTGTTTCCTGTAATGTTTCCTTCGAAGACACTTCCATGGCCAAAAAATCAGTTTGGAAACATCTGGACTGAAATATGTTGAAAGTGCCTTCTGGTGCCTAGGATTTGGTGTTTATGAATCTCCATCTGTTGGCTGGATGTCTTTGTTCTTGGTATAAGTCTTTCATGGTTAGGGAAATTTTACTGGCTGAATCATGAAGGAACTGTATAATACAATGGGGGATCGTGGTATCTGACTGCTAGGCTGTGCTCTGATGTTAACTGCCCATGAGATAGTTCTCAACTAAGCAATTAGAAATTAAAATACTTTTTAGCTCTCCGGGAGCTTGGGAAATCCTGATAAAAAGATGCAAAGAATCATACTCCTTGCTTATCAAAACCTATTTATGCTAGCTGCCATTTTTTTTTTCGAGCACTTACTTTGTAGCATTTTATCTGTATGTCTCACTTAACCCTGGGGTGGTCTTGTGAAGTAGCTGGAGTTAGCTCTGCCGTAAATGGTAGTTGAGGCTTACTAAGATTGTGTAGCTTGGCTAAACTCCCACAGCCAGAAGTGCAAGAGCTGGGGATTGAAACTAGGATTGTGTTTCTAAAATGTGTGCATTCTTTATTATGTTCACCTGCCTTTCTTAAAGTTACAGGAGTTTTGTAGCTGTGAGACGTTTTTAATAGCACCGCTGTTACTCATGTTTTTCATTAATGAAATCTGGTAATAAAAGTGATTAGCAACGTTCATTGTTCTTAACTGCTTGTTATGCCAAGGACTCTTAATAGTAGGGCAGAAATGATTTGATTATATTGTATATACCATTCCTTATCTGTTAGGTCCTCATAAATAAGGAAAAAATGAGAAATTTGTAAGATTAGAGCAGAATGAAATAAGCTATGTTTTCTTTAATGGTTGGAAATTATTCCTAAAAGAATAATAGATATGAAAAAAATCTAAAATAGGTGATGCTAAATTCTTTAGAGTCAGTGAACATACAGAGATTAGATTGTTTTATGATCAGTGTGGTGCTAACTTTGATGCCCTAAGAATGGATTTACCATGGTGGTACCTAATGCAAGGAAATTGGGCATTTTTTTCTTCACAACATAATTTATTGCTGGACACTGTAAAAATATCAAAACGTGGTGGGCATTAGTGCCACTCACTACAATTTCTAGTTCTCCTTTTTGCATGTGGAATATCACATTTCCCAGCCTATTTCAAGATGGCATGGTCTTGTGACTTGCTGTGTCCCATGGAAATGTGTCGCTTTTGGCTAGAAGCATTTAAAAGCTGATGTGAGGTCGGGCGCAGTGGCTCATGCCTGTAATCCCAGCCCTTTGGGAAGCTGAGGTGGGTGGATCACCTGAGGTCAGGAGTTCGAGATCAGCCTGATCAACATAGTGAAACCTTGTCTTTACTAAAAATACAAAAATTAGCCGGGCGTGGTGGCGCATGTCTGTAATCCCAGCTACTTGGAAGGCTGAGGCAGGAGAATCGCTTGAACCCGGGAGGTGGTTCAAGCGATTCTCAGTGAGCCTAGACCACACCATCGCATGCCATCCTGGGCAACAAGAGCAAAACTCCTCTCAAAAAAAAAAAAAAAAAATCTGACGTGAAATGCTCTCTCTCTTTCCTTGCTTTTGGGACCTGGAAGCACAAGTAGCTATGACAGTACCACATGATGAAATCAGGTTGGAATACTGCCCTGAGGCTTGAAGGATTGCTGCCCCAGAGAGTTGCCTGGAGCCATAGTGATCTTTGAGTGAGTGAGGAGTAAACTTCATTGTGTTAACTTCTGATACCTTCTGGTTGTTGTTACCATAGTATAATCTAGCTTATCCTGACTTTACTACACACATCATCAGAAATCATTAGTGTAAAAGATTTTTAAGGAGAGGGACTGACCAAGATTGAAGCATAATTACCTCAGATGCAGATAAGGTCAATAGCATAGTTAAGGGCAGGTTTTCTCTTTTAGCTGTCACCTGTTTTATGTTTTGTCAGTTTATTCTTCTTTTAGCTCAGTTTTGGTCGTATCACTGCCCCATTTAAAAATAGTAGTTCCTCATTGCCCACCGAATAAAATCTGAGTAAGGCCTGCCACAGTTTGGTTCTGCAACAACACGCTTTAAAAACTGTTCTCTCACTGTGGTGAAGTATTTATTTATCATCATGTGCCTTTGCCCATTCATGCATTTGAGAAACATATATTGATTACTTTGTGTGCCAATGTGGAGGCTAGACCCTAGGGACACACAAAATGTTCCTTCCCATCTGTTCATGTCCAATTCTGCCTTAGCTTTTCAAGCTAAGTCTTGAAGGATGTTTCCTACATAAACCCTGCTTCATTCTCACAGTTGGTTATAAGCTGTCTTTCTGACCTCTCAAGCATTTCTGGCACACTGTTTCCTATCCTGGTTGTAAAGTTGTACTTGTATATCTCATTCCCTTTACTGGGCTAGTGTCACACCTTTGTATCTTTAGTACCTAGCTCCCAGCTTATGGTAGGGGCTCAGTAATCTTTACTGAATGAATGGCTGTTAGATTGTGGCTGTGTTGAAAAGCCAATGATTAATTTGCCTTTGTTTGACAAATTGTTACTATCTTTAAAGTTATTTTGCCTTCGTTGCTTGCACTTACCTCCTTCTAGCTATTATCATTGTGTGTGTTCATTCTTAGTACTCAGTAGGGCCTTATGTAGCAGTGGTTGTGTTTTTTTCTTTTTTTATAAGCTATCTGGAATGCTGTATCCTAGCACATTCTGGTGAGCTTTCCTTACCATTGTTTAAAGTCTGTTTTGTGTTTTAAAGATCCATTGTGAAGTTTCTTAATGTGACTTCTAAGTCTAGAGCTTATGAATAGATGAGTCATGTGTTTTAATCGATTCAGACTTAGTTTTGTCTTGGTGTCTTGTTGTTTCTACTGATGTTTTCCTGAAAGATTTGTGCCTTTGAATCTGTGTTCTGAACTTATACTCTGGTTTCTCTTCGTATGGTGTTAGTCTTTCCCCTTTTACTAAAGAGCTTTGAACTGGGTAGTTTAAAAGACCCAGATTCTAGTTTAGTTTGGCTTCTAGCTCACTTTGTTAACTTTGGTTGTGAAGTTTGTATCCACGAAACAAATGAGTTTGACAAAAATCCATGATTCACATACTGATTTTACTATGGACCGGGTAAGTTATTTGAATTCTAATCTTGTGTGGATACAAAAATTGGAGACAAAATTCTGGTAGGGTTGGCAAAGGTTGAAGGAAACTTTATTTATTTATTGAGTGCTTACTATGTGCTAGATGCTGTTTATTTGCCTTATTCACTAACCTGTGAAGATTTTATCTCTGTGTTTTAGTTACAGAAATATGAGATACAAAGAAGCTAGGATACTTATTGAGCTAGTAAGGGCAGGATCCAGAACTTCGGCCAAAGTCAATTTCATTCCAAAGCCAGTGTTCTTTTTGTTGCAGTTTGCAAGCCGTTCCAGACTTCTCTAACGGAGTAGCCTTTAGGACAAATGATAGGTGTTGTATGTGTCTCTTGAAGAAAGTACTCTCTGTTGCATGTCATACTACTGGTAGAATACCTGCCCTCACCCCCCACCCTCTTTTTTTTGAGACAGAGTCTTGCCCCATCGCCAAGGCTGTTAGAGTACACTGGTGATCACAGCTCACCACAACCTTGAACTCCTGGGCTCAAGCAGACCTGCTGCTTCAGCTTCTTGAGTAGCTGCATCTACAGGCATGTGCCACCATGCCCAACTAACTTTGTAATTTTTATTTTGTAGAGACAGGGTCTCACTATGTTGCCCAGGCTGGTTTCAAACTCCTGGCCTCAAGCGATCCTCCTGCCTTGGCGTCCCAAAGTGCTGGGATTATAGGTGTAAGCCACTGAGCCAGACCAAAATGCTCTTAAGATACAAAAACTAGAGTGGATAAATAAACTATTTCTCTGGATCTTTGATTAAGACTGCACACCCCACGGTAGTGCAGTTATTTCCATTGTGCCTGTAAGTGTGCTTTACCATCCTGAGTGAAGAGTGAAGGGACCATGATTAAAATTCCCATGACATTGTATGGTTTTATGATTGTGGTTTCAAGTCTTGCTCTCTCTCAACTAATTTTTGTGACCTTAGACTAGAAAATAGTTTTTTTTTTTGTTTTTTTTTTGGAGCTGCAGTTCCACTGTGTGTAAGATGGGAAAAACAGTACCTATTTTATATACCATATTGCTCGTTGCTGGACACATATGTGTCCAGCAAGCATTTATTTTTTGTCTGTGGTTGTACCTATAATTGGGGAGAATTTTTTTTCTTTAAGTGTAGATCAATTATGGTATAGGACATTGGAAGGTAGAAGAAGAGGTACTATATACAGCAGTTACTGACCTTTCCAGTCTGAATTCCTATTTAGAAATAAACTACTTATGTTATTTGTGTTACTGTTTTAGGAGACATGAATTGGCTAATAAGTTGTTTGCAGTGTTGTTTCTTTGCTAATTTTTGTAAATGTAATTAGATTTCATAACATTTTGTGTTAGGAGAACATAGACACTTTGAGAGAAAAATGCATAATAAAAGCTAATTTGATGGTTTCTAGGGGTAGTTCTATTTTGAAATTCCTTTCAGCAGACAATATGAGACAGCATATTATGGGCTAGGCCCTGAAAGAACCAAGGGAGAGTAAAGCACAGTCCTAGGCCACAAAGAGTATGTCTCTGGAGGATAAGATCTCTGGATTTTTTGTCCTACTTACAAAACAGAAATAATATATTTTATGCTAGTTACAAGTAGTATAAGCTCATTGAAGAAATATTTAAGCAGAAGGAATGTGCACCAGCCACTAGGAATGCAAAGATAATTGGGGTATAGTGAGAGATATGGAAATTTGTTGTGTAACAATGTTAGAGTACCAACTTTGTGGTATACAGGCTTCTAAGGAACACAGATGAGGGATGAGGGATGGGACGGGTGTGCTGGGTCTTTTTTTTTTTTTTTGGGACGGAGTCTTGCTCTGTCACCCAGGCTGGAATGCAGTGGTGCGATCTGGGCTCACTGCAACCTCCGCCTCCTGGGTTCAAGAGATTCTCCTGTTTCAGCTTCCCGAGTGGCTGAGACTACAGGCATGCGCTGCCATGCCTGGCTAATTTTTTTAAAATTTTTTTTATTTTTAGTAGAGACAGGGTTTCACCATGTTGGCCAGGCTGTTCTTCAACTCCTGACCTCAGGTGATCTGTCTGCCTTGGCCTCCCAAAGTGCTGGGATTATAGGCATGAGCCATCGTGCCCGGCCTGTGCTGGGTCTTAAAGCATGAGTAGGAATTTGCCAGGCCTGGGTTGAGGAGAGAAAGAATGGAATGATGGTTCTGCTGTGATACACTGTGTGCAAAGAAACAGACGTCAAAGAGCTTGGTGTGTTTGAACTCAGTGAGCAGTGAGGTGTAGAATTATTTCGTGTGGATAGGGTGTGGTCACCGAATTAGGTTAGAAAGTCAAAATGGGGTGGGTGGAAGCGTCTTTTAGTTTGTCCTCTTGAAGCAAAAGGGAGGATAGTCTGGTTTTGTTTTGGATACCTCATTCTGTGAGCAGTAGAGGATAGTGGCTTGGCAGAGGGAGAAGGGAGCATTGCCTCTCAGACAAGTTAGAGGAGGCCATTACCATAGTTTTGGACAGATTGTGAGGGCTTGAATGCAGTGAGGTTGGAAGGGAGCCAGCAGATCTAATGGACATTTTGAAAGTTGAATGGATGAAACTTGTTGAGTAGATGGTGGGAATTAGGAGGTGGTAGTTGTCCAGAATAACTGGGAATTTCTAGCACAGGCTGCTGGGTGAATGAGAGTGCACTGAGGGGCATGATTCATTCTGGCATGGGAGAGGAGTTGGCTTCCTGGAAGTGGTAATGTTTACATTTGGCTTAGATTACCTCATTCAAAGTGGTTCTTGATTTTGCCCACAATCTATTTTAGAGTCCATTTATTCATCTAGAAAGTACCAACTGCTTACTGCATGCCAGTAATTGATATTTTAAGAATATTAAAAAATGTTAATTGTGGTAAACACACATACCATAAAATTTACCATCTTAACCATTTACCGTCTTAATCATTTTTAAGTGCAGAGGCAGTGGCATTTAGCTCTTTCACATTGTCGTGCAGTCATCACCACTGTCCATTTCCATGACTCTTTTCATGTTGCGGAACGGAAATTTTGTACCCATGAAACAATAACTTTCTATTTCTCTCTCCTCCGTGTCCCTGGCAAATACTTTTCTACTTCCTGTTTCTATGGATTTGACTATTCTGGGTACTATATGTAAATGATACCACACAGTCTGCGTTCTTGTGACTGGCTTACTTCACTTAGCACAATGTCATTAGAATTCATCCATGTGGTAGCATGTGTCAGAATGTATTTCCTTTTTAAGGCAGAATAATATTCCATTGTATGTATATACCACATTTTGTTTATCCATTCATCCACCAATGGACACTAGAGTTGTTTCCACATATGGGTTATTGTGAATAATGTTGCTTTGACCATGGGTGTACAGACATCTTTCGAAGTCCCTGCTTTCAGTTCTTTGGCGTATGTACCCAGAGGTGGACTTGCTGGATCATATGGTAATTCTATTTTTAATTTTTTGAGGAGCTGCCATACTGTTTTCCATAGTGGCTGTACCATTTTACATTTCTAACAGCAGTGCACAAGTGTTCCAGTTTCTCTGTACCCTCACCAACACTTGTTATTTTCTGTTTTTGTGACAGTAGTCATCTTATAGTGTGTGAAGTGATATCTCATTGTGGTTTTGATTTGCATTTTTCTAGTAGTTAGTGATGTGAGCATCTTTTTATGTGGTTATTGGCTATTTGTATATCTTTTTTGGAGAAATATTTGTTCAAATCCTTTGCCTGTTTTTCATTTTTATTTTATTTTAATTTAATTATTTTTTTGAGATGGAGTTTCACTCGTCGCCTAGCCTGGAGTGCATAGGCACGATCTCTGCTCACTGGAACCTCTGCCTCCCAGGTTCAAGCGATTCTCCTGCCTCAGCCTCCTGAGTAGCTGGGATGAAAGAGTGCACCACCACACCCAGCTAATTTTTTGTATTTTTAGTGGAGACAGGGTTTCATCATGTTGTCTAGGCTGGTCTCGAACTCTTGACCTCAGGTGATCTGCCTGCCTCGGCCTCCCAAAGTGCTGGGATTACAGGTATGAGCCACCCTATCAGGTCCATTACCCTTTTTTTAAATTGGTTGTAGGAATTATTTATGTATTCTAAATATTAATCTCTTATTAAATAAGAGTTGCTAGAATTTTCTCCCATTCTGTGGGTTGCCTTTTCACTCTGTTGATTATATTCTTTGATGCAGCTAGTAGTAGTTTTTTTTTTTTTTTTTTGAGACAGAGTCTCGCTTTGTCTGTCGCCCAGGCTGGAGTGCAGCGGTGCGATCTCGGCTCACTGCAAGCTCCGCCTCCTGGGTACACGCCATTCTCCTGCGTCAGCCTCCCGAGTAGCTGGGACTGCAGGCGCCCACCACCACACCCTGCTAATTTTCTTGTATTTTTAGTAGAGACGGGGTTTCACCGTGTTAGCCAGGATGGTCTCTATATCCTGACCTCATGATCCGTCCGCCTCGGCCTCCCAAAGTGCTGGGATTACAGGCGTGAGACACCGCGCCTGGCCTGATGCAGCTAGTAGTTTTTTAATGAACCTTAAATTATAAGGGAGGTTGTTGCTTTTATAGTAACTTTACTGAGCTCAAATGAAGAAATTAGTTTCCTCCATTTTCCTTTAGAGGAGTATGATATAATTTTATAATTTGAAAAAGGGTTGGTATTCACTTTTTCTGGAATTTTCCTTTCTAGGTATGATTTATGACCTAGTATCTTTTGAGTAATGTCTCCTTCCTTTCTTTTTCATGGCCCTCAGGTGTGGTTATTAGAATAAGCATCATGACCATGACTTCCCCGGGCTGGTCGCTCATCACCAGCTGTCCAGTTAGAAGCAAGTCTGGTCATACCTGCTTTTGTGTACCATGTCTTACAGTAGTAGTTGTCTTGGGGCTGTCTCCCTACTCATGCCCTTCTTGTCGACTTTCACCTGGGTCATGAGAATGGCTTCAAAATAGGTCTTCTGCTTCAGATTTCTCTTAATTTTCCTGTACACTGTTTGGACTGGCCTTTCCAAAACACCTTTCAGGGGCTTTGTGATGCTTTCAGGATCAAGTTCAGACACTAAGCTTGGCAGTCCAACTCCTTCTACCTTGACCTTAACCCCCCTTTGCAGTTATTTTCTTCCCTGGTCATTAGTATATTGGCAGTGTCAGTCAAGGCATTTTATCTTCCTTGGACTGGGGTAAGATGCTTGATAGGTGGGCCATTTCTCTTCTGCGACTCTCAGATTTACCATCTGTCACCTGGACGTGCTTGTGCTGTGCTCTCTGCTTGGAATGCTGTCACCTCTTCACCTTGCCTGGTTTTTCAGGGCCTAACTCAAATCCCTTTCCTCCTTGAATCCTTCTCTAGCTGGTCCAGCCCATAGAGATCATTTTCCGTTCTCAGAATGATTATGGCATTTATTTTCTGTGCTGTTTCATTGGGCAATTGATTGTAAATGGCTCTGTATTGTGTTAGCTTTTTGTGTGTTTTTAAGAAAATGTTCTGTCCCCTTTAGTTCCTTGTAGTAGTAATCATGACTTGTACTCTATACAGGTTCTACACACGTAGGTAATTGATGGATCTTCATTGATCCTATAACATTGGTTCTCCAAGTGTAGTCAGTAGACCATTGAACATTCCTGAGACTCTTTCAGTGAGTCTGTGAGGTCAACACATGAAAACATTATTTACCTTTTTATAGTGTGCAGACATTTGACCTGATAGTGCATAGTGCAAAAGCAACAATGGGTGAAGCTGCCGATGCCTTAGAATCAATCACGACAGTGAACTAAACTGAGCTCCAGTAGTCACGGTATTCATTACAGTCATGTACTGTGAGTGAGAAATAATGCCAGTTCCACTTAATGTCTGTGATGAAGTAGTGAACATTATTACTTTTATTAAATCTCAACCTTTGAGCACACATTTAAAAATGTGGGAAGAAAAGGGAAATATGCGCAAAGGAGTTCTGCACGTGGAAGTATTGTGGTTATCTTGAGGTAAAGCTCTCGTGTGATGGACATTAAGGTGAACTAACTGCTTTTTTTTTTGAGATGGAGTCTTGCTCCGTCCCCCAGGCTGGAGTGTAGTGGCACGATCTCGGCTCACTGCAAGCTCCGCTTCCCGGGTTCACGCCATTCTCCTGCCTCAGCCTCCTGAGTAGCTGGGACTACAGGCGCCCACCACCACGCCCGGCTAATTTTTTGTATCTTTCGTAGAGACAGGGTTTCACCGTGTTACCCAGGGTGGTCTCGATCTCTTGACCTCGTGATCCGCCTGCCTCGGCCTCCTGAAGTGCTGGGATTACAGGCGTGAGCCACCGCGCCCGGCCAACTAACTGCTTTTTTAAATGAAACTCCATTTTTATTTGAAGGGAGGACTTTGATAAGCTGTGGTTATCCAGAAATTGGTTATTTGGCAGATACCTTCTTGAAAATAAAGCAAGCCTTTACTTCAAGGAAGTAGTGGAGTCTTTGTTGCCAGTGATAAAATTTGAGTTTGCAAGTGAAAATCAGAAGTTTGGAAAATATGTATTCGCCACCATGAGCTTGACAGCTTTTCAGTATTTAAAAGCTTTATGAGTAAAGTAATGATATTAACAAATGTGATTTTTGATATTGTATAATGAAATGTATCTACATTTGGAAGATCTGCATAACTCAAGGAACCAGTATTTTCACAAATGATCAATGTATGATGTTACAGCAAAAATCATGCTTGGGTAAACGATTCATTCAAAGTGAAAGACCAGTCACTTTTAATGTAACAGAGTACAAAACGGTCATTGATACAGTTTCAGATTTCACATTGTGACTAACTCTTTAAGAAGCTACCACTTGTCAAGTTTTGGTGTAACATGGAAAAAGAATATTAACAACTATCCCAAAAGACTATTAAAATACTACTCCTTTTTCAAATTGGGTATCTATTTGAGGCAAAATTTTAAAAATGTACTTCCCCAAACAGTGTAACCGTTTGAATGCAGAAGCAGATAGGAGAATCCAGCTGTCTTCTATTAAGCCAGACATTAAAGAGATTTGCCAAAATGTAAAACAGTGCCACGTTCTTATTTTTGTTTTGTTTTGGAAAACATAGTTATTTTTCATAAAAGTATGTTTATTTGTAATGAGTTCATGGAATTTTAAAATGAAGTAATATTTTATAAATTTTTCAGTTTTAATTTCTAATACAATAAAGTACCAATAAATATAACCCACATAACAAAAGCTCTTTGGGATTCTCAGTTTTTAAGAGTAAAAAGGAGGGAGCTCAGGCAACCAAGAACTTTCAAACCACTGATTATAGCTTACAATGGATTGAAATAAGCTGATCCTCATGAAATACTTTAGTTTCTTATTTGAAAATCTTTATAGAAACAACACAGAGGAAAATAATTAGTATCTGCTTTCATAATGCTGAGTTATATTTATTGGGCACTTAATATGTGCCTGACACTGCACTGAACACCGTACCTATATTATCTCCTCTAACCTTTATCTTATCCTGCAACGTATATATTACCTTAGTTTTACAAATCAGGGGGCTAAGGCACTGGCGGGTCAAGTAATTGGCCCAAGCTTATTTAAGAGGTAAGTAGTAGAGCTAAGTTTTAGACTTAGTTTAAGTTGAAATTGAAAGCCTGCGCTTTTCATCAGGATGTTCTGCTGCCTCACAGAAAAGTTTGTAAGTCGGCACTGTGTCCGCACTGCTAATTGATCCTTAGGGAAAAGTGCAGAATGCTGTTGTCTGAAGATTGTTGATGCAAGGTTGAGCAGTGGCTGAAGATCCTGCGCATGTTTTCTTTTTATCCCAGGTCACGTAGTCTTGTACTGTTTTGTGGAGCTGGATCTTTAGAAGGTGGTTCTTTCAGAACTTCAGAACAGACCGTAACTGGAAGACTGTGGGCTTAGTTTCTTATGGTTACTAGTAGTTAGTATGTGAATCTAGCTCAAGGTTGGAGAGATTTTTCAGGATGGCTGTAGTTCAGTTGTCGTTGCTTATGCTAGTTCTTTCATTTCATTCAGGGGTATAGAAACTTTAGATTGTCTGAAAATGTTATTTTCAGGAGTTTTCCCATTGGGAGACAAGGAAGTGGGGATGGAGTTGAAGTCAGGTGAAGGTGAAGAGAATAGCACCATTGCCCTGACCCCTGGCTTTTGGGTTATTGTGCTGCAAGCATCAGGTGACTGAAAAAGCAAACATGAAAGTAGAGATTCAGAGAGGGGAAGTGACTCAACCCAGGCACCCTGCACAGGAACATGTGTCATCACGGTTTCAGCTCCGGACGGTGAGATCGCAGTGTGTTCTCAGGCCCTTGTTAGGATTCTTAGCACAATAGTTGTTTCTGCTTGGTGGGTTTGTTGATTGAGAGCGCCTCAGAAGCATTTATATTCACAGTATCCCACGTGCCCTACTAACTCAACTTTATATTACATAGACAGCTACTTTAAAATTGTCTTGGTACATGTATTTTGAAATTTATATGAACAGCTTTATTTACATTATCCATTATACTCCTCTATTAAAGAATATATGTATATTTTAATTATACTTTTTTATACTCATTCAACTTTCATTGTTTTCTCCAACCTTTTTTACCACCTCAGTGGAAATGGAAATGAGAGTACCTGTTATAGCCTGAAAAGCAGAGGAAAAAAGGTGTAACTCTTTTTAAGGTTTTTCGTCATGTTTAACTTATGTGTTATTCCCAGATTTTTCTCCGATGTTCATACTGTCTCTTGAAACCAGTCTTCCTTTTTTTCAGCACTATTGTGGCCTGTGTATAATTGGTACTTGTCTTTCAGATTTGTATTCTGTAAACAGGCTTTGACGGGGCAAATTTAAACTGTTGTAAAGATTGCCTATTCATTTCTAATACATGTTTTGTGGTAGAATTGAATTGCTGATTGTGTGAAGGGTTTTTGAAAATGAGGGACAAACAAAATGAGAACTTATGAATAGTAGCACAGTAAAAAAAAATCCAAGAGGAATAAGACCACCGTGCTTTCTTTTTTCACTTCTGAACTAGTCAATAGCTTTGTATTCTGGTGATAATTAACAAGGTTTCTATACATACACAAAAATGAGGGGTAGTGAGATTTAGATGATGATATAGAGAATGAAGATGGGAAAAAATCCTCTTGGTATTAATACATATGGTATAGGTACAGAGTGTTCCTTTATGTGTATAATTTGAAAAGGGTGAGGGAGCTCCAAAATAAGATAAGGAAGTTGGTAGACTACATGTTTTGTTAATTCTTATGTTAGAGTGCCTTCTCCTGGTGTGGATGCATTTCTAAGATGAATAGTTAATTTGTTCTTGTTTCTTTTTCAAAGTCTCTTTGAGCAAATGACAAATTGAGATGTCCTAGCTTTAAGGAGAGACCATTGACATTTGCCTAATGCCTTCTCTTGTCTTAGGCTTTGCCTTGTATTAAAGAAGTATATGACTGGATGTGACTAAAATGGTCTGGGAGGAGGGTTAGTATTCTGTTTTCTAAAATGGATTCTGGGATTGTTATATGCAATTGGTGCTTTAGGATGGGAGAAAATCACCTAAGTGTAACTTCAGAATGTGAGAAAGTGTGACCTGTCAACTGTTTTGGTTGGGTTTTCTATGTTGGAGTGGTTTGTTTCTTAAATTTTGCTCTCAGGTTTGGGGTGGTAGTGAAGTTACTCTGAAAATTCATAATTTTTCTATAATTAGTAACAGCATCCCAGGAGTTTCAGAGGGAAATACCTTTAAAAAAAAATGAGATGTGACAGCACGCTGCCACGCCGACGCAGACCCCGCTCTGCACGCCAGCTCGCCCGCACCCCTCATGGCCACAGTTCAGCAGCTGGAAGGAAGATGGCGCCTGGTGGACAGCAGAGGCTTTGATGAATATGTGAAGGAGCTAGGAGTGGGAATAGCTTTGCGAAAAATGGACACAATAGCCAAGCCAGATTGTATCATCACTTGTGATGGCAAAAACCTCACCATAAAAACCGAGAGCACTTTGAAAACAACACAGTTTTCTTGTACCCTGGGAGAGAAGTTTGAAGAAACCACAGCTGATGGCAGAAAAACTCAGACTGTGTGCAACTTTACAGATGGTGCATTGGTTCAACATCAGGAGTGGGATGGGAAGGAAAACACAATAAGAAGAAAATTGAAAGATGGGAAATTAGTGGTGGACTGTGTCATGAACAGTGTCACCTGTACTCGGATCTATGAAAAAGTAGAATAAAAATTCCATCATCACTTTGGACAGGAGTTAACTAAGAGAATGACCAAGCTCAGTTCAATGAGCAAATCTCCATACCGTTTCTTTTTTTTTTTTTTTCATTACTGTGTTCAATTATCTTTATCCCAAACATTTTACATACAGCTATTTCAAAGTGTGTTGGATTAATTAGGATCATCCCTTTGGTTAATAAATAAATGTGTTTGTGCTAATAAAAAAAATGAGATGTGTATATTGATGATTATCTTTTAAAAAATAATGGGAGGTTTATGAGAGAGCTGGTGCACTTAAAGCCTGGTGGTTCAGTACGCATAACCCCTAGAGCTCAGTTTTCATGGATCAAGGCAGATTTGTAAATAGAAGAATAATGAGTCAGTATGGTAAATGTCAATGGGAAGATTCGAATGAAGTGAGATGGGAGCACAGAAGGATGGAGCAACTATATTTGCTTTGAGGAGTCAAGGAGGGAAGGACATTCTAAAATTTTGAGAGCATTAAAGAATAGGTTACTCTTTTATAATTGTAGAGTTTATTGTACTATGTATTTGCATAAATGGACACATAATATTTAGTTAAATACCTCTATTCATTGTGCAGTTTATGTTTAGCACTGTGCCAGGTTCTTGGGGAAGGAGTTAAAAAATAAAAGATGTCCTGTTTCAGTACTTTCTTGGGAGTGGGGCTACTATGTGAACAGCTTGAGTAACATTTTGTTCAAGACTCAGTTGTGGGTAGCCAGGTACTGTGGTGGACTGGTGCTTTTGTTAAGTCTGGTTTTTTTCCTCCCTGCTGGTAAGCCACTTTAGAAATGATCAGTTTCATTAATGTAAAGTCATATTTTATACCTCTACGCACTAATTCCCGTGGACATGACTGGTAGCTACGATAATTTTTGGGACTCCAGTGGTCAATGAGTATGTCTCAGGTACTTAATTTCTTCCATGGCTAACTAGTTTTTAGTGGGCAAAAGGAAATTTGAGAGAAGCTGCATAATTTGCTTTAACTTGCAGGGTGTGTTAAGTATTGAATCACATCTATTATGATTATGGAATTTTGGTGTGTGTTTGAATGTCAGAGATAGTGTTAAGGTCAGAATTCTGCTGAAAACTGACCCATCTGAAAACCAGTATGTTCACTCCATTCCACTCTTCAGCAAGGCCATAGTTTCCCTATCATGGTTCATTTCTCCTTTTCCCTGCCCATTAAAGGTAGCAAATTTTGGAGGTTCTTACACATTTGGGGTTCTTAAAATTGTTCTGTAATGTGTAAGCTCGGCTGTCCACAAATGATTATAGGATTGACATTTGTTATTTGGTGGAGTTTGATATATTAGAGTAATATAAATGTGTTATGCTTCAAAATGAAATACGGGATTTTTATTCACTAGTTTGTCTTTGTTTCATTCCTTTCCAAAAGAAAATTAATGCTTAACTTGAACAGCTGATTTTTTGCATTGTTTCCCTTAAAAGCTTGCTAGCATAGGAACAAAAGGTAACTTTTTTCTTTGCCTTTTATTGTTTTCTGATTGTTTGATATTAAGTTTTGGATTGATATTAGAAATATTAATAGTTTATCCTAGGCAGGAGCCAGCTTTCTTTAATATGTGCCAGATGAGCTTCCAGTAGTTTTTAGACTTTGAGATTTTAGAAACCTCATTTTCAGGGATGGGTGACTTCACTGCTTTTTCTTTGTCTTAATTTAAAATTGGTATGTATGACCAAAGGAATCTTTCTGATACTCACTGGTCCTTTTTGGTGGAATCGAAATAGCGTATGAGCAATGGGCGTTTAAGTTAGAAAATATTCGTTTATGTAAAAATTAACCAGAAATTACTGGAATGTAGTATTGGTCAAGGTTGTAGAGTCAAGTTAATCAGTATGATTAATGGGTATTAGGAATGGAAATGTTGCAATGTAATGACAAGTCATGAATTGTTAAAAGAACAATCTGTTGTTAGCCCATTGATAAACTTTGTGAGATACTTATTTGAGAGCAAAGTTTGAAATCTTTCTTTTGCCGATTAAACATGACTGTCATTTTGCCATTTTCTGCTGTATTCCAACCATTACGTTCTAAGTGCTCATTTATCCTCACCAGGAGCCAGTGAAGAAGGCGACATTATTCTAGTTTTACAGATGGAGAAATGCAGCTTATGTATTAAGCAGCTGATCAGGCAGCACAAAACCAAGGAAGTTATTAGTACTGGTAATTGAACCTAGATTTGTCTGGCTCCAGTCCAGTACTGTCCAGTAGAAGTATAATATCAGCCACTAGGTAATTTAAAATTTCCTAGTTGCTACATTAAAGGAGAAGTTTATTTTAATATTTTAATTCAATATATAAAAGTTCATTTTGACGTAATTATAAAATTGAGATATTTTACATTTTTACATTCTTTTTGTACCATCTTCATTATTTATTATTATTATTATTATCATTATTATTATTATTATTATTATTCTGAGATAGGGTCTGTCCCTGTTGCCCAGGCTGGAGTGCAGTGGCAGGATCATAGGTCACTGCAGTCTCAATCTCCTGGGCTCAAGGGACCCTCCTGCCTCAGCCTCCCGAGTAGCTGGGACTACAGGCGTGCGCCACCATGCCTGTCTAATTATTTTATATTTTGTTTTGTATAGACAGGGTCTCACTTTGTTGCCCAGGCAGGTCTCTAACTCCTGGGCTTCAGACGATCTTCCCATCTTGGCCTCCCAAAGTGCTGGGATTACAGGGGTGAGCCACCATGCCTGGCCTTTTGTACCATCTTCAAAGTCAGTGTGTGTATTTTAGATGTATAGCACATCTCAGTTCAGGCTGGCCACATTTCTTCAAGTTGAAATGTGGCTAACCCAAATTGAGATGTGGCTGGTGGCTCTATAATGGGATTGTGTAGCCCTGATACCTGTGCAGTGGCCAGTACTATAAGCGGTAAAGAAACCAAGACTTCGGTTTTGCATGTTGTTGAATTATTTAAGCTTGTAGCATATAATTATAGCCACTAGTTTAATAAAATCAGTCATGACAAAAAGTGATAAAGTAGCCTTGTCATAATGCAAATATTTGGTTGTCTTTCCCATATTTACAATTTTTACTTCTCTGAACAGGAGATGATGTAGGTTAAAATAAAATATTTAAGTAGCATTTAAAAGGCAAATAATTGCATTTAGTCTAGAGATAAGGAATCAATCGCATAGTTATCATTAATAATAAAGACCACAAGTGGCTAAGACCACTTTAACCACAAAAAGGAGACAGTTGAAATATTGTACATGGGTTTAAGTATAGATAATTAAATTCAGCAGTCTGCTTATAGTACCTGCTGTGTGCTGGGCATTGTTTAGATGTTCAGATGTTAAAATAAGAAATGGATTCTGTGCTCAAGGATGCCACCCTTAAGGGTTTAATTAGAGCCATTATTTCCAGAACCATTAATTAGAACCATTATTTCCAGAAAAATTTGGTGGTGATGGGAAGAGTCTTTGTATATTTTTGAACATTCCACAGTGGACACTGTTTGCTTTAAGTATAATCTTTGTATCATATCATCATAGGATTTGTAAAATTTTCAAACTTCTTTGCAAGTACTTTGCAAACTTCTTTGTATGCATTAAAAGAATGCGTGGTTCTGAGAGATTTAATTATGGCAGCCTCAGGGCCACTTTATAAAATGCTCTCCTTTTGATACTCTGTGAGTTGCCATTATGTTGCCCCATTTCTATTCCTGGTAAAGACTCACCGATCATACTGATGAACTTGATCTGCATTTTGGACTGAGCTTAGTCATACAAGTAACGTGGCCGCTGATACATTGTGTATCATTCTGGAAAACAATTGTATGTCACTGTTGACCCGGATATTTTTATGTATAGGATTGCTTAGTTGCAAGATAGATGAAAATATAGTTGCCTAATCATTTAAGAGTGAAAGATTCTTGGTATTCTAGTTTTTGGGTTGAGGAGGGAGAATAAAAAATTTTCCAAGTTTAGTGAGTTTTTTTGTTGGGGGATGGAGAGGGAATGTAGAGAGATGGTTAACCAGTATTTATGTCTCATTTCAAAATAATGACAGCTTTTTTTAAAAAGCTTGAAAGATAGTATATGCCTTTTGTCAGTAATCAACATATGTATGTAATCTATTCTGTTGATAAATGTCAATATCTAAGGATAAGTAGGGCACAGAGAAGGGAAATTGTGTACCTCATTTTCTCTGTAAGGCTGTAAAGAGTGAAGAGGGTGAGAGAAAGAAGGCACACCTTTCATATTCATCTGTCATTTCTAGAAGGCTTAAGTGTCTGAATCTGACTCTTGTTTTTTTTTTTTTTTTTTTTTTTTGAGACGGAGTCTCGCTCTGTTGCCCAGGCTGGAGTGCAGTGGCGGGATCTCAGCTCACTGCAAGCTCCGCCTCCCGGGTTCACACCATTCTCCTGCCTCAGCCTCCCAAGTAGCTGGGACTACAGGCGCCCGCCACTACGCCCGGCTAATTTTTTGTATTTTTAGTAGAGACGGGGTTTCACCGCTTTAGCCGGGATGGTCTCGATCTCCTGACCTCGTGATCCGCCCGCCTCGGCCTCCCAAAGTGCTGGGATTACAGGCGTGAGCCACCGCGCCCGGCCTTTTTTTTTTTAATCTGACTCTTTTAACAGTATTCTGATAGAGCAGCGATGGCTTCAAGACGTAGACTGTTGTCACTTCTTTTGTCTGCTGAGCTGCAAAACAGCTTCTTGGGATATCTGGCCCATGACTTTGGATAGGATTGATGGCTTCCCTAGCCCAGTCTGTTCATTCATCTTTGGAGTTGATTTCTTATCTTTCCTGCTTGAAAAGAATGGATGCAGGGTATGGTATGATTCTGATTATGTTTTTATTCAATATGAAGCAATTAGTTGACCATACCATGAGACAGAAAAGACAAATACTCATTGAAAGTTGATACTTAAAACTCTTACCCTAATTGGGATTAGGAGGAAGAGTACTTTATTTCACCAGAGAATAATGCCAGAAAATTTTGCTAAGGGTAAAAGTGTGGGGACCATTTTCGAAGGAGGTCAAGAGCTAGCTATTTTATGTAAGGGAAATTATCTGAATGGGATGGAATTATAAGGAAAGGAAGCTGAAATATTGAAAGAGAATTTCCCCCAATATTTTCTTAAATGTGGGCTATTACTTTTTCATTGGAAAAAATTTAAAAGGACTACATTAAAAATGAGAATACTTAACAGGCTGAAGTAGGAGGATTGCTTAAGTCCAGGAGTTTGAGGCCAGACTGGGCAACATGGCAAGACCGTGTCTCTCTAAAAAAAAAATCGGAATTCTGCATTTTAAGGAGTGTGGTTCATTCCTAGTTATAGATTAGGACAGTTGAATTATGTGAAGGTCTGAGAACTATTTCCAATATATAGACTTTTATTAAACAAAGGTATAGATGGATGATGACTTAGAAATGCAGGCGGTGATTTTGTTTCATGCCTAGTTTCTCAAGTTTTAGAAAATGGTGACAGTCTCAGAGAAAACAAGCAACTATTTTGTGAAATCTCCAGGTGTCAAAACAGTCCAAGGCACATATAATTAGAATAAATTAAGGGAGAATGTTGCTTTAGAGTTCTTGTGGTGCACTAGTCATTCTTAAAGGGTGAGCAAGGCAAAAACTAAAAATAGATGGAAGCTTATCTGCACATTTGAACTTGTGGAACAGCTGGAGTGGGTCTCTTACTCCCTTACTCTTCCTAACTGAATAATTCTCCCTCTCTGGTTATTTGCTGTATTGAGAAAGTCTTCACTGGCTCTCCTGGCGTTTTTGAGAAGGATATTAAAGGGGCTTGAATTAGAGCACAGGAAGTGGAATAAATGGCAGGAAACATTTGATCATTTCTGTCACTGTCAGAATGAAAGCCCAATATTTGATTTGAGAGGTTGCAGGACAGTAGCAAATGTTTTGATGGGTTTGTGTGTGCGCGTGTGCGCGCGCGCCTGTGCACACTCTCAACTTTGTATCTTTTTTTTTCTTTGCCCTTCTCTCTAATATTCACTCTTGTCCAGATTTTCATAATATAATTGGAAGAAGCAAAGGCCCTTCCTCCTCTGTTAATGAGTTACAATCTTTCACAGGTCCAAGAAAGGCGACAGAAGGGACTTTCTACTTTGTAGACTTATTATTGTTTTTCATTTTCTACTAAAAGTTTATTTTCCCATGTGCTGTTTTTCGGTGTGTATGCATTGTTAACTGCATTTCCACCATGTTGCATAAGGAACATTTGCAATTTGGTTTATAATGTCACCATTCGTGCTCCATAAGGGAGGTCTATACTCTATCTCTCATATATCCAGTACCTAAAACTCACTGCCTGGCACTTAAGTAGGTGCTTCAGTATATGTCAGCATTCCAAAGGTCTTTGTTACTGTAAATAGAGCATTGATGTGAATAGTACAGATGATGGTGGGCTCTATCATGATCTCTCTTGGCAGGGATTTATCCAGAGTCATTTGAATAATTACCATGTACCAACTAGTATGTCTGGTCCTGGGTATGTACGTATTTAGGACCTTTAGAGAGCTTATATGTTGGTAGGAGAGGACATACTAGGAAACCAACAATTACAGTATGGGGGTGCTGTTACGAGATTTGAGGTGTGCATTAGAGAGCAGAGAGGAAGGCTACCTGACCCAGTTTAGAGTGAGTTGAGAGAATTAGGGGATTGTTTCATGAAGGAGATGATGGTTACATGATCATGTTCTGTAAGATGAGGAAGAGTTAGCAGGGAAAAGGGGAGGAAAGGCTTGGAGCCCTGAGAAAACTTTGTCCTTATGTTGGGGAAGTACTCTGTTCAGTTTTCAAGTTATGCACCATTTTGACTAATCTTTAAGGAAGTAATGTAATTGGTTAGTTTGGACTTTTCTCATAATTTGAACAGAGGTTTTTTGTTTTGTTTTAATAATGGAGCAGTTTAAGAAAGAACTTACCTTGTTTACCCTACCCTAACCAAACCAAACCAAATGAGGTGTTGCATCCTTCTCTGTGCATACCTGCATATGATTTTAAATTAGGAAAGAAAAACCAATCCAACTCTCTTGTGAATAGGAGTTGCTGTTAGTGTACAGTTTCTTATTTTGGCAGCAAACCCATCTCAGCAATGCAGATGTTCTGCAGTAAAATAGGTGACTTATTAATATGATATTTTCTGGTTGTGAAAAACAGTTGCATGGCCAGTATAGAAGTGACCTATTTGAATATAGTACAATATTAATCTGCAGGCATGCTTCAGAGATATTGTGGGTTTGGTTTCAGACTACTGGAATAAAGTGAACATTGCGATAAAGCAAGTCACACATGTTTTTTGTTTCCCGGTGCATATGTTTTGTTTATACTATGCTGTAGTCTAGTAAGTGTGTGATAGCATTGCATCTAAAACTGTACATCCCTTAATTGAAAAATATTGCTAAAAAATGCTAACAATCATGTGAACCTTCAACAAGTCGTGATCTTTTTGCTGGATGGTCTTGCCTTGATGTGGATGGCTGCTAACTGATCAGGTGGTGGTTGCTGAGGATTGGAGCAGCTTAGGCAATTTCTTAAAATAAGACAACAGTGAAGTTTGCTGCATTGATTGACTCTCCTTGACAAAAGATTTCTTTGTAACATGTGATGCTGTTGGATAGCATTTTGCCCACAGTAGAAACTCATTTCAAAATTGGAGTCACTCCTCTCCAACCCTGCTGCTAGTTGATCAACTAACTTTATGTAATACTGTAAATCCTTTGTTGTCATTTCAACAATGCACAGCATCTGCACCAAGAGTAGATTCCATGTCTAGAAGCCACTTTCTTTGCTCATTCCTTAAGAAGCAACCTGCCATCTGTTCAAGTTTTATCATGAGATTGCAGGAATTCAGTCATATCTTCAGGCTCCACTTCCAATTCTAATTCTCTTGCTGTTTCCACCACATGTCCAGTGACTTCTCCCATTGAAGTCTGGAACCCCTCCAAGTCATCCATCAGGGCTGGAATCAGCTTCTTCCAAAACTCCTGTTAATGTTGATATTTTGATGTTCTCCCCTGAATTGTGAATGTTCTTAATGGCATCTAGAATGGTGAATCCTTTGCAGAAGGTTTTCAGTTGGCTTTGCCCAGATTCATCAGAGGATGGATGGCAGGTCTAGGATTATGAAATTAGTTTCTTAAATCATAAGACTTGAAAGTCAAACTTACTTCTGGGTCAGTGGGCTGAAGAAAGCAAGTGTGTTAGCAGGCATGAAAACAACATTAACCTCCTTGTTCATCTCCATCATAGCTCTTGGGTGACCCAGGTGCATTGTGAGTGAGCAGGAGTCTTTTTTTTCTGGGCAGTAGGTCACAACAGTGACCTTAAAATATTAAACCATGCTATAAACAGATGTTCTGTCCAGGCTTTGTTCTAGTTACGGAAACACAGAGTAGACTTAGCATAATTCTTATGGGCTCTAGAATTTTTAGAATGGTAAGTGAGCATTGGCTTCAACTTAAAGTCATCAGCTGCATTAGCCCCTAACAAGAGAGTCAGCTTGTCCTTTGAGGTTTTGAAGCCAGGCTTTGACTTTCCCTCTCTAGCTATGGAAGTCCTAGATGGTGTCTTCTTCCAGTATAAGGCTGTTTTGTCTACATTGAAAATCTGTTGTTTAGTGTAGCTACTTTCATCATTTGTCTAGATTGTCTGGATAACTTCCTGCAGCTTCTGTGTCAGCACTTGCTTGTTTGTAGTGCACTTTTATGTTATGGAGATAGCTTCTTGTCCTTAAACCTCATGAACCAATGCTCTGCTAGCTTGCTAGCTTTTCTTCTGCAGCTTCTTCACCTGTCTCAGCCTTCATAGAACTGAAGAGATTATTTAGGGCCTTACTCTGGATTGGCCTTTGGTTTAAGGGAACGTTGTGGCTGGCTTGATCTTCTATCCAGACCACTCAAGCTTTCATATTGTTAATTTGTTAATAGTAATAAGGCTATTGTGCTTTCTTATTATTTATGTGCTCACTGGAATAACACTTGTAATTTCCCGCAAGAACTGTTCCTTTGCATTCACAACTTGGCTGTTTGTTGCAAGAGGCCTAGCTTTCTGCCTGTCTCAGCTTTTGACATGCCTTCCTTGCTAACCTTAATTATTTCTAGCTTTTGAGTTAAAGTGAGAGATGTGTGATTCTTCCTTTCACTTGAACACTTAGAAGCCATCATGGGGTTATTCATTGGTCTCATTTCAATATTACTGTGTCTCAGGGAATAGGGAGACTCAAGAAGAGGGAGAGAGATGGGGTAGCAGCAAGTTGGTGGAGCAGTTAGAACATACACAACATTTATTTAGTTTGCTGTCTTCTGTGGGCACAGTTGGTGGTGCCCTAAAACAATTACAATAGTAAAATAAAAAACATAAAAGATCAATGATCACAGATTACCATAACAGATATAATAATGAAGATGTTCGAAATATTGTGAGCATTACCAAAACGTGACACAGAGGCATGAAGTGAGCCACATGTGTTTTGGAAAAATGGTGCTGATAGACTTGCTTGATGTAGGGTTGCCACAGACCTTCAATTTGTTAAAAATCTCTATCTTTGAAGTGTAATAAAGTGAAATGCATTAAAATGAGATATGCCTGTATTCAGGTTTATTATTTATTTTTATTGAGATTACCTTTTTGTTATGTATAAAAAGCCTGGTTTTAAATTACAGTTTTCTAGGTGTGTTTATATAAGATAAAGCCTTTTGGTTCTTGGAAAACAGTTTTGGGAATGTCAAACTAATTTTTTCATTTTAAGATTCCTCTAAGAACTTATACTAGAGGCTGGTCCTGGTGGCTCACACCTGTAATCCCAGCACTTTGGGAGGCCAAGGTGGGCAGATCACTTGAGGTCAGGAGTTCAAGACTAGCCTGGCCAACATGGTGAAACCTCTTCTCTACCAAAAATATAAAAAATCAGCCGATGTGGTGGCACGTGCCTGTAATCCCATCTACTCGGGAGGCTGAGGCAGGAGAATCACTTGAACCCAGGAGGTGGACATTGCAGTGAGTTGAGATTGTGCCACTGCACTCCAGCCTGGGCGACAGAGTGAGACTCTGTCTCAAAAAAAAAAAAAAAAAAGAACTTACCTCAGTTAGGACTTAATTATCCTCTTTGCATTACTGTGGGAGTTAGGGCAAGACTTTTTTGAAAGTACTGTTGTTAATTGTGGGGTAGATAAATTTCCTTGAGCAGATGAGGTTTTTGGTTTTTAAAAATAGCCCAAAAGATACTCAGAAACAAGATCGGTTTAAAAAAAAAAAGAGTCATTATCAGATTGCGAAGTATTTGTTTTATGTGAAGAGAGAAAATAAGAGACATCTATAAAGTAATGCCTTTCTAATGCTATTTTTGAAGATTCTTGTGAAAAAGAAGCTCCAAAAATACTTGAGCAATGGCAGTATTGGTGAAGGACTAATTCATCCAGACGAACTTTGTATAGGATAATCCTTGGTTCATTCTATAATATCCAGTTTTGGCTCTTAATCAGGATTCATGTTATGGAAATCTTCTTTAAAATATTTTATATTGGTTTAGTCATTAATACTAATGGGTCCCTCACTTAGTCTAAATGTAAGGTGTCACTGTATTACGAGACCTTGAATTAATAAGCCAAGTGCTAATTAGGAAAGTTGACAAAGAAGCAGTGTTCAGCCACTGGGGCAAGAACTCAGTCATCTCCCATTGTGCGAGTGAGCCTTTACTGTTTAGTGGGCTCTGTGATTACTGTCTAGGATCATCTAAAACAAAAATAGGTAGAAATCTAAGAGAATGAGTTTGTGTGTATGCAGATTCACCTGAATATTGAGGTAGCACAGTCTGTGGATAAGTTTTTGTTTTTTTGTTTTTTTTTGGGTTATAACTGACAATTGCGCATATTTAAAGTGTATTTTCACATGTGGTCTTATAAAGAAAACCAAATGATCATAAAAATGTAAATGAGAGAAAATATTCTTAGTTCTCAGTGTCATTCAGGAAAAACTTGTTGGAAGATGGTATGTGATAGTTGTTGAGGTTTATTTGTCTAGCACAGTTTCTACTCAGTTACTTTGTCATTTAAGATCCTAAGTACAGAGAGATTCTAGCCACTACCCTATCTCTCTGTCTGCAATGTTTTTTAAAAGACAGTGCAGTGCAATGTATTTTCTGATGATATCCTTTCCTTCATAAACATCTCTAAAGAATTATTTCCATGTAATTCTTGTGGCCATCATTGGTATGTAGTTGTGTTGACTAGAGATTTTAAGTTGTATGTGTCTGAAGTACTGTTTCCACACAACCTCCTTAGTATTGTTTTGTTTTGTTTTTTTTTTTTTTTTTGGGGACGGAGTCTCACACTGTCACCGGGGCTGGAGTGCAGTGGCGCCATCTCGGCTCACTGCAAACTCTACCTCCTGGGTTCACGCCATTCTCCTGCCTCAGCCTCCCGAATAGCTGGGACTACAGGCGCCCACCACCACGCCCGGCTAATTTTTTGTATTTTTAGTAGAGACGGGGTTTCACCGTGTTAGCTAGGACGGTCTCGATCTCATGTCCTTGTGATCCGCCCGCCTCGGCCTCCCAAAGTGCTGGGATTACAAGCGTGAGCCACCGCGCCCGGCCTTAGTATTGTTTTCTGGTTTATAAGAATTGAAACCTTGCTCTTAATTTGTCCAGGTCTTCTGCCTGTATTCTGCTTTCATGGGAATAAACAACACTAGTTACTAGAAATTTTGAGATTTTTTTTTCTCCTTCCTTCTCCTAGTACATGATGTTTTGAGAGGCCTGTGTAATCCTAAACGCTTGATAGAGCACTTTTATGATGGGAGTATGAGTAGTATGCAAGTCTATCGACTCCTCTAGGCAAGTTTGTAGTTGTGTGTGTGTGCGCACACACACGCTTTAAAAGTAAAACATTAACCATGTATGTTTGGTAAATGCTAGACTGTAGTTTTAAAACTGGAAGAAACCGTTGAAAGTATCTTGTCAAATTTGTTCATTTTATTGATGAGGAATTTGAGGGCCAAAGAGGCAACTCTGATGAGGCCAATTATAGAATTAATTCTAAGGACCTGCATTTGGGTCTACAAAACCAGTTATGGAAATATAGATGAAGGAAGTCTTGGTTTAAGTGGAGCTTTTAGTTGACCATAATAAGCTTATGTTAGTCATAAGTGACATGGCTGTCAGAGTTGCTAAGTTGATCTTGAATTACAATAATAAAAGTATGTCAAAACAAGGAGAAAGGGGTAGCCTGTTAGAGAAGGCAACAACAGCAGAATATTTGAAGTATCAAATGTGGTTAGTCCTGGATCACCAGTTTTCAGAGGAACATTGATGAACTGGAGCTTACTGTCCAACTTACACTCCTGAGAACTATTTGAAACCAGAATCTCCCACCAGGTTCTCCAGGTACTCACTGTACCTGACTTCAAGTGTTCTTCCTGGCCACATGAACAAGTCTGGTTTTTTGCCTGTTTTTCTTAATGTAATTCTCTTGCTTTTCCTCCTGTATAAAGATCACAGTGACACCTTTACTTTCCTAGGCATGATCAGGCCATGGTACCTTTATTGACTGATTGATTGAGACAGAGTTTTGCTCTTGTTGCCCAGGCTGGAGTGCAATGGTGCGATCTTGGCTCACCGCAACCTCCGCCTCCTGGGTTCAAGTGATTCTCCTGCCTCAGCCTCCCAAGCAGCTGGGATTACAGGCATGCGCCACCACACCTGGCTAATTTTGTATTTTTAATAGAGGTGGGGTTTCTCCATGTTGGTCAGGCTGGTCTCAAACCCTCCACCTTAGGTGATCTGCCTGCCTCGGCCTCCCAAAGTGCTGGGATTACAGGCATGAGCCACCTCGCCTGGCCTTACCCTTATTTAAAGCTGTGAAGGCTGGAAGCTGTTTCCCAGACTTCTTGCCAAGTTTGGCCTGAAGCCTCAGAATACATTTTCTCCTTGTTTTTCAAAGTGGCTGGGGGTTTAAATGATCATTTGTGGGTTTGTACCCATGCTACTAATGTCTTGTTTCTAACAAGGACATATAAAATTTCTTGGCCTTACACTCACGTTTGGCTTTCTGGTGATCTTGCATATCAGAGATGGTAGCTGTCGGTAGTGCTGTGGGTTGTCTACAGGAAAAACAAAAATACCCCTGAGAAAGCACACAGTTAAAAATGGTATTGGAATGACCATCCACTACTTTTCTACCAGATAATCATTATTTTCATTATCTTACCTTCTGAGTTTCCACCTGGAGAGGAAGGGAACTAATCTTTATTGAACACTTAAGATGTGCCAGACAATGAACAAGTGCTTTACAATGTAGATTTTGTTTTTCCTTACCTTATAGTGGTGTTCTTACCCCACTTACAGATGAAGAAACTGTGGTACATGCATAAAGTAATGTTATATAGCTAGTGAAGCTGGAATTCGAATTCAAAATCTTGACTGAAAAGATCTTGTTTGACTTTTATGACCACAAAAGACAAATGATATTACTCTCTTATTTAGAATGGCCTAACTACTACCATTTTTCTACCTAATTATTTACTTTTACACCTCTTGGGCCCCCTATCTGTTTTCCCTGGCATATTTTCTTGAGTTCTTAATTATCTTGAGTTCCTAATTTGGAATCATGTATTACTTCTAGCAGTTTTCTCAGATAATCTCCTTTCATTTCTCTCGTGCAAGACTAATGGTCCATCTGGGAGCTGTTTTTCAGGGTAGGGAAGAGTCAGAGAGAGGCCTGACTACCTCTGTGCAGCAAGGGAAGCGATTCCCTAAACTATTTCTTAAAATTCTATCTTGATTGGACTAATTTTCTGTATTAGTTGAATATCTACTATAGTACTCTTTGTTGACATGATTTGGTCCTAGGTGCCTAAGAAAATAGTAACCTCCCTCTGGCCTTCAGGAAATTTAGGATTCGGTTTGGGAGTTAAAGTGTGCACATAATTGGTGAGTATGATAAGTGCCACAAGGCCATAGTTCAACCAGCCAACCAACCAGCCAACCAAAAACCAAACCATTGGCTGTTCAGAGTGGGGAAGAGAGCACAAATCTGCATAGTTATAACAGGGAGGCTATTCTCAGTCCTGGCTCTGGATGAGAATATCCTGGCGAGATTTTAATTCAGTAGGTGTAGGGTGGCGCAGGAATCTGTGATGCTGATATGCACTGGGATTTATGCTATCAAGGATAATCTTTTATTTCTTTAGTTCTCCAAAGCATGTTTGTTTTTATCTTTTGAATATTCCCTTGCATTTTCCCCTGCACTTTACTCTGAAGTGGGAATAATGGAACTTGGGTGCCTGTTGGCTGATTCACCATGTTTAGTTAGTAGATCTGTGAATGTAATCTTTAATGGATTTAGGCAGAATGTCCAATGTGGAAGTAAATTCAGTCTGTCTTGGAATTAATTGTAGAATGTAGTAAAGTAGCCTTCATTTATTTGCATATCTTTTGGACTAAACTTCTGTATTTAATAGAATGCCTCGTCATATTCTGTAAAGTCTCATTAATATGGAGCCTGTAATTTAAATCTGTATTTTGGAGGCACACTGAGGTAAAGTTTACCCTTAATAAGGGCACCATTGTTTACTATAATGGGCTAATTACATGTCTTAATCATTGTAGCAGGTTGAATACAACCTCTTCTTGGCAGTGTTTTACTGGCTCCTACTTTCAAGTTATTTTCTGCCTTATAGTAGTAAAAATTTAGTTAGTTAACTTGTCTTTCCTAAGCATTTAGAAATTAGTTGAAGTTGTAAACACTGTTAGCTGAATAGAAATAAGCTGACACTTTCTCTTCAATTGTAGAGAGAGATTATGTGACTTAATCTTCCCATCAGGGGGATGTGAGTGATTGGAATGCTAGTGGCTGGCGGTGGGTTTGTTTCTTAAAGGCTATATGTTGTACTTCACTGAACCACCTGTACAGCTAAGCTGTCTTGAAGTTTTAGTCATTCCTACTCTTGTGGTTGGAGTGATACTGTGGGTCTTGGTAGCGTTTCTGCCTTTTGTTCTAACATGTCAGACAGTTACTCTTTGGCCTTCTTCATTCTTATCCTAATTGTGTATAACAACTAGCATTTGAATACCTACCATATACGGGGCGTCATGCTTGCTGGCCTTATGTACATTGGCCTAATATTTATAATACCTGTGTGAGTAGTGCTGTTGTTATCCACATTTTGCAGGTGAAAAAGCAAGGCTTTGAGGGTTTAAATACTTGTACTAGGTCAAAGAGCTAACAAATGAAAAGATCCCACATTCAAATCCACACATGCTTTTAGAACCTGTGTTTTTAGCTTTTATCTGTTGCCCCAGGACCAGGCCAGATCATCATCATCACTTTTCTCTTTTCCTTATCAAGTTGGTAAGCGGCTGTAGGTTGTTCTGGTGATAATGAGAGATAAAGGTCATAGTTAGTGCATAATCAGTTAGCATTTTAAAAATAATCGCTGCTGCATTGTGATTCCAGAGAATGGAATAACCATAAATGTATTACTTCTCAGACATTCACAGTGATGGTGTACAGGATCATGCTCACTCTAGGGCAAGCAACATTATAACATTGTTTAGAAGCCTGATTTGCTATAAATTGAGGAACAAGGTGTATCAGGAAAATCTAAAATATCCCTTTGATTATCCCAGTACAGTGATTACGAACTTAAGGCTGGGAGCTGAACTCTTTACATTCATACCTTAGCTCTTCCAGCTCTGTAACTCTAGGCAAATTATTTATGCTCCCCACACCTCAGTTTTCTCATGTGTAAAACAAGGGTAGTGGTAGTACATTCTTTAAAGAGATTTTATAAGGATGAATTAAGACAATGTGAAGAACTTAGCAGAGTGTCTTATATATACCAAGCTTCAAATATTGCTTTACTATCTTGAGTTAATAGGAAAATCAAAGAGGTATTAAATGGAGAGTGGATATAAAAGCTTTGAGGTGAAGGAGTGGTCAGGTGATGAGGTGCTGGTTACCTTGCCCCTTAGTGTTTAGCTGATTTGTGTTGGTGGTCCTAAAGTCAACTCTTCCCAGCTTTTAGGTAGTAACTTCAAGATGTAAGTAAAAATCCTAAATTCTGAAATATTTTAAAACATTTTAAAGTGGTTTACATTTTACAATATTCTTGCTTGTAGGCAATATGAAACTCAATTAGATGGTAAAAAAATGATTACCAGATTCTTTAGCAGATCAACTCTACGATATAATCTGAAAGATAGAGTTGTGTGCTTACGTGTTTTTATTTATTTGGAGAGGTTCAGGCGAAAGAAATGTCAACAGTGGTACAGTTACGTACCCAAATGAAGAGTTGCTGTAGTTGTGCAGATCTGGGATTTGGTGTATGAAAAAGATGCCTAATTTCATTGGGAGGCTGTTTAGATGAGAGGCACTTTCCAACACTGGGATTCTATTTTTTTGGGTGTTGAATGTTACATACCAGATTAGTTCTCATTTCTTTTTTTTTAGAAGAATACGTATTTTAGTCTAAGAACAATGGAAAATAGCTTTCTCTTTTAGCTATTTCAACTCAATTCTAACCTCATTCCTAACTTAGCCTAACTCTATAGTTTATTTTGGCTGCAAAATCCTGCCCACTTTATCTTCTATAAAAATGTATTTTTCCTTCAATGAGGGGAAAAATGCAAGCTAACATATTTATTTTGGATTATCTTTTTACCCCATTATTTTCCTAATGAGCTCTGTTCATGCCTCTCTGCAAATCTTAAAAAAAAAAAAGTCGATTCAGTTTGAGGATAGCTGAAACATTTTTTATGCAGAAAGTGGTTTGTAAAATACGGGAGAATTCTACTGAATTCCCTCTTAGAGCATCATTCAGTAGTAGCTTACTGGTGATAAAGATTACTATTGATGTCTTTACTATTCTGGGAAAGTTTTAAAGTTTACAAGGAGAATGTTAGAATTCAGTATATAAACCAGGAAAAACTTTACTTTGTTATCTGAAAAAGACCTAAGTGGATATAAGGCCTCATTATACCACTCAATTTTCATTCACTTCGCAAAATTGACTTTTATGAAGCTAATATAATACAAGGTGAAAAAAATGGTCCATGATCCTGGCAGTGTTGCTATGGACTAATTTCCATCACTTTGAGTCATATTACTATAAAAGGGCAGAAAACACTGGGGGAGGCTCTTAGCAGATTTCTAACTACTTTGTTTACTTTGGTTGATAGGGAGTTTGCTGTCATATTTTTGAAAGGTGGTGGTGGTGGGATTGTCTGCTATCTCCTTTCTCTGCCACCTCCCAGGTATATAGGTGATGGTTACAATTTGGAAAATATAGAAAGAAAAAAAAATATACACCCCATTACCTTGAGATACTTAACATTTTAGTTTTCTTCTTGCTTTTTTCTCTTTCTTACATGGTTTTAAAAATAGTTTTTAAAATATTAAATCATATACCATTATTTTCTCCTTTTTCCCCCCTTTAACACTGTGTTCCCTTCTGTACAGTTTTTTTTTTTTTTTTTTTTTTTTGGAGTACTGTTTTTAAGGGATAGCATCATTTTGTTCTTTGGAGCTATCCCATTTAACCAGTTCTCTGTTGTTAGACAGCAACGTCCCCCCTCCAAAACAACTTTTCCTCTCAATTCCAACATTATTTCCTTATGATAAAGTAAAATTACTGGATTAAAGTTTGAACGTTTTCAAGTATCTTCATATATAAATGTGTTAAATTTTATCCAAAATGCTTGTGACCACTTCTTATTTCATTCCCATCATCTAAGTATGGGAGCACTTGTTTCTCCACGTCTTTGTCGGTAGTGGGCATTTTCGCTTTCCTACACTTTTTCTTCGATTTCTAGGTGGAAGATGATACCACCTCACATTCAGTGATACTTAGAAATGCTGTGAATGCCTAGTCAGTCCACAAACTCCTTAGCCTTTGTTTTTTGGTTTAAACCCAATTCTGGGGACTTCCTGATCATCCCTTCTTGGTATTAGCTAAGCTTCCTAAACACATGGATGTTTGTGTAAGATTAGTATGGTTTCATTAAAACCAGGTTGTCAGCCAGATGTGGTGGCTCACGCTTGTAATCCCAGCACTTTGGGAGGCTGAAGTGGGTGGATCACCGAGACCAGCCTGACCAACATGGTGAAACCCCTCTCTACTAAAAATATAAAAATTAGTTGGGCATGGTGGCGCGTGCCTGTAATCCCAGCTACTCGGGAGGCTGAGGCAGGAGAATCACTTGAACCCGGGAGTTGGAGGTTGCGGTGAGCCGAGATTGTGCCATTGCACTCCAGCCTGGGTGACAGAGCGAGACTCTGTCTCAAAAAATAAAAAAATAAAAAATAGGGAGGAGCCAAGATGGCCGAATAGGAACAGCTCCGGTCTACAGCTCCCAGCGTGAGCGACGCAGAAGACGGGTGATTTCTGCATTTCCATCTGAGGTACCAGGTTTATCTCACTAGGGAGTGCCAGACGGCGCAGGCCAGTGGGTGCGCGCACCGTGCGCGAGCCGAAGCAGGGCGAGGCATTGCCTCACTTGGGAAGTGCAAGGGGTCAGGGAGTTCCCTTTCCGAGTCAAAGAAAGGGGTGACGGACGCACCTGGAAAATCGGGTCACTCCCACCCGAATATTGCGCTTTTCAGACCGGCTTAAAAAACGGCGAACCACGAGATTATATCCCACACCTGGCTCGGAGGGTCCTACGCCCACGGAATCTCGCTGACTGCTAGCACAGCAGTCTGAAATCAAACTGCAAGGCGGCAGCGAGGCTGGGGGAGGGGCGCCCGCCATTGCCCAGGCTTGATTAGGTAAACAAAGCAGCCGGGAAGCTCGAACTGGGTGGAGCCCACCACAGCTCAAGAAGGCCTGCCTGCCTCTGTAGGCTCCACCTCTGGGGGCAGGGCACAGACAAACAAAAAGACAGCAGTAACCTCTGCAGACTTAAGTGTCCCTGTCTGACAGCTTTGAAGAGAGCAGTGGTTCTCCCAGCACGCAGCTGGAGATCTGAGAACCGGCAGACTGCCTCCTCAAGTGGGTCCCTGACCCCTGACCCCCGAGCAGCCTAACTGGGAGGTACCCCCCAGCAGGGGCACACTGACACCTCACACGGCAGGGTATTCTAACAGACCTGCAGCTGAGGGTCCTGTCTGTTAGAAGGAAAACTAACAAACAGAAAGGACATCCACACCGAAAACCCATCTGTACATCACCATCATCAAAGACCAAAAGTAGATAAAACCACAAAGATGGGGAAAAAACAGAACAGAAAAACTGGAAACTCTAAAATGCAGAGCGCCTCTCCTCCTCCAAAGGAACGCAGTTCCTCACCAGCAACGGAACAAAGCTGGATGGAGAATGACTTTGACGAGCTGAGAGAAGAAGGCTTCAGACAATCAAATTACTCTGAGCTACGGGAGGACATTCAAACCAAAGGCAAAGAAGTTGAAAACTTTGAAAAAAATTTAGAAGAATGTATAACTAGAATAACCAATACAGAGAAGTGCTTAAAGGAGCTGATGGAGCTGAAAACCAAGGCTCGAGAACTACGTGAAGAATGCAGAAGCCTCAGGAGCCGATGCGATCAACTGGAAGAAAGGGTATCAGCAATGGAAGATGAATGAAATGAAGCGAGAAGGGAAGTTTAGAGAAAAAAGAATAAAAAGAAATGAGCAAAGCCTCCAAGAAATATGGGACTATGTGAAAAGACCAAATCTACGTCTGATTGGTGTACCTGAAAGTGAAGGGGAGAATGGAACCAAGTTGGAAAACACTCTGCAGGATATTATCCAGGAGAACTTCCCCAATCTAGCAAGGCAGGCCAACGTTCAGATTCAGGAAATACAGAGAATGCCACAAAGATACTCCTCGAGAAGAGCAACTCCAAGACACATAATTGTCAGATTCACCAAAGTTGAAATGAAGGAAAAAATGTTAAGGGCAGCCAGAGAGAAAGGTCGGGTTACCCTCAAAGGGAAGCCCATCAGACTAACAGCGGATCTCTCGGCAGAAACCCTACAAGCCAGAAGAGAGTGGGGGCCAATATTCAACATTCTTAAAGAAAAGAATTTTCAACCCAGAATTTCATATCCAGCCAAACTAAGCTTCATAAGTGAAGGAGAAATAAAATACTTCACAGACAAGCAAATGCTGAGAGATTTTGTCACCACCAGGCCTGCCCTAAAAGAGCTCCTGAAGGAAGCGCTAAACGTGGAAAGGAACAACTGGTACCAGCCGCTGCAAAATCATGCCAAAATGTAAAGACCATCGAGACTAGGAAGAAACTGCATCAACTAACGAGCAAAATCACCAGCTAACATCATAATGACAGGATCAAATTCACACATAACAATATTAACTTTAAATGTAAATGGACTAAATGCTTCAATTAAAAGACACAGACTGGCAAATTGGATAAAGAGTCAAGACCCATCAGTGTGCTGTATTCAGGAAACCCATCTCACATGCAGAGACACACATAGGCTCAAAATAAAAGGATGGAGGAAGATCTACCAAGCAAATGGAAAACAAAAAAAGGCAGGGGTTGCAATCCTAGTCTCTGATAAAACAGACTTTAAACCAACAAAGATCAAAAGAGACAAAGAAGGCCATTACATAATGGTAAAGGGATCAATTCAACAAGAAGAGCTAACTATCCTAAATATATATGCACCCAATACAGGAGCACCCAGATTCATAAAGCAAGTCCTGAGTGACCTACAAAGAGACTTAGACTCCCACACATTAATAATGGGAGACTTTAACACCCCACTGTCAACATTAGACAGATCAGCGAGACAGAAAGTCAACAAGGATACCCAGGAATTGAACTCAGCTCTGCACCAAGCGGACCTAATAGACATCTACAGAACTCTCCACCCCAAATCAACAGAATATACATTTTTTTCAGCACCACACCCCACCTATTCCAAAATTGACCACATAGTTGGAAGTAAAGCTCTCCTCAGCAAATGTAAAAGAACAGAAATTATAACAAACTATCTCTCAGACCACAGTGCAATCAAACTAGAACTCAGGATTAAGAATCTCACTCAAAGCCGCTCAACTACATGGAAACTGAACAACCTGCTCCTGAATGACTACTGGGTACATAACGAAATGAAGGCAGAAATAAAAATGTTCTTTGAAACCAACGAGAACGAAGACACAACATACCAGAATCTCTGGGACGCATTCAAAGCAGTGTGTAGAGGGAAATTTATAGCACTAAATGCCCACAAGAGAAAGCAGGAAAGATCCAAAATTGACACCCTAACATCACAATTAAAAGAACTAGAGAAAAGCAAGAGCAAACACATTCAAAAGCTAGCAGAAGGCAAGAAATAACTAAAATCAGAGCAGAACTGAAGGAAATAGAGACACAAAAAACCCTTCAAAAAATCAATGAATCCAGGAGCTGGTTTTTTGAAAGGATCAACAAAATTGATAGACCACTAGCAAGACTAATAAAGAAAAAAAGAGAGAAGAATCAAATAGACACAATAAAAAATGATAAAGGGGATATCACCACCGATCCCACAGAAATACAAACTACCATCAGAGAATACTACAAACACCTCTACGCAAATAAACTAGAAAATCTAGAAGAAATGGATAAATTCCTCAACACATACACTCTCCCAAGACTAAACCAGGAAGAAGTTGAATCTCTGAATAGACCAATAACAGGAGCTGAAATTATGGCAATAATCAATAGTTTACCAACCAAAAAGAGTCCAGGACCAGATGGATTCACAGCTGAATTCTACCAGAGACACAAGGAGGAACTGGTACCATTCCTTCTGAAACTATTCCAATCAATAGAAAAAGAGGGAATCCTCCCTAACTCATTTTATGAGGCCAGCATCATTCTGATACCAAAGCCGGGCAGAGACACAACCAAAAAAGAGAATTTTAGACCAATATCCTTGATGAACATTGATGCAAAAATCCTCAATAAAATACTGGCAAAACGAATCCAGCAGCACATCAAAAAGCTTATCCGCCATGATCAAGTGGGCTTCATCCCGGGATGCAAGGCTGGTTCAATATACGCAAATCAATAAATGTAATCCAGCATATAAACAGAGCCAAAGACAAAAACCACATGGTTATCTCAATAGATGCAGAAAAAGCCTTTGGCAAAATTCAACCCTTCATGCTAAAAACTCTCAATAAATTAGGTATTGATGGGATGTATTTCAAAATAATAAGAGCTATCTATGACAGACCCACAGCCAATATCATACTGAATGGGCAAAAACTGGAAGCATTCCCTTTGAAAACTGGCACAAGACAGGGATGCCCTCTCTCACCACTCCTATTCAACATAGTGTTGGAAGTTCTGGCCAGGGCAATTAGGCAGGAGAAGGAAATAAAGGGTATTCAATTAGGAAAAGAGGAAGTCAAATTGTCCCTGTTTGCAGATGACATGATTGTATATCTAGAAAACCCCATTGTCTCAGCCCAAAATCTCCTTAAGCTGATAAGCAACTTCAGCAAAGTCTCAGGATACAAAATCAATGTACAAAAATCACAAGCATTCTCATACACCAACAACAGACAAACAGAGAGCCAAATCATGAGTGAACTCCCATTCACAATTGCTTCAAAGAGAATAAAATACCTAGGAATCCAACTTAAAAGGGATGTGAAGGACCTCTTCAAGGAGAACTACAAACCACTGCTCAAGGAAATAAAAGAGGATACAAACAAATGGAAGAACATTCCATGCTCATGGGTAGGAAGAATCAATATCGTGAAAATGGCCATACTTCCCAAGGTAATTTACAGATTCAACTCCATCCCCATAAAGCTACCAATGACTTTCTTCACAGAATTGGAAAAAACTACTTTAAAGTTCATATGGAACCAAAAAAGAGCCTGCATCGCCAAGTCAATCCTAAGCCAAAAGAACAAAGCTGGAGGCATCACACTACCTGACTTCAAACTATACTACAAGGCTACAGTAACCAAAACAGCATGGTACTGGTACCAAAACAGAGATATAGATCAATGGAACAGAACAGAGCCCTCAGAAATAACGCCGCATATATACAACTATCTGATCTTTGACAAACCTGAGAAAAACAAGCAATGGGGAAAGGATTCCCTATTTAATAAATGGTGCTGGGAAAACTGGCTAGCCATATGTAGAAAGCTGAAATTGAATCCCTTCCTTACACCTTATACAAAAATCAATTCAAGATGGATTAAAGATTTAAACGTTAGACCTAAAACCATAAAAACCCTAGAAGAAAACCTAGGCATTACCATTCAGGACATAGGCATGGGCAAGGACTTCATGTCCAAAACACCAAAAGCAATGGCAACAAAAGCCAAAATTGACAAATGGGATCTAATTAAACTAAAGAGCTTCTGCACAGCAAAAGAAACTACCATCAGAGTGAACAGGCAACCTACAAAATGGGAGAAAATTTTCGCAACCTACTCATCTGACAAAGGGCTAATATCCAGAATCTACAATGAACTCAAACAAATTTACAAGAAAAAAAATAAACAGCTCCATCAAAAAGTGGGCGAAGGACATGAACAGACACTTCTCAAAAGAAGACATTTATGCAGCCAAAAAACACATGAAAAAATGCTCATCATCACTGGCCATCAGAGAAATGCAAATCAAAACCACAATGAGATACCATCTCACACCAGTTAGAATGGCAATCATTAAAAAGTCAGGAAACAACAGGTGCTGGAGAGGATGTGGAGAAATAGGAACACTTTTACACTGTTGGTGGGACTGTAAACTAGTTCAACCATTGTGGATGTCAGTGTGGCGATTCCTCAAGGATCTAGAACTAGAAATACCATTTGACCCAGCCATCCCATTACTGGGTATATACCCAAATGACTATAAATCATGCTGCTGTAAAGACACATGCACACGTATGTTTATTGCGGCATTATTCACAATAGCAAAGACTTGGAACCAACCCAAATGTCCAACAATGATAGACTGGATTAAGAAAATGTGGCACATATACACCATGGAATACTATGCAGCCATAAAAAATGATGAGTTCATGTCCTTTGTAGGGACATGGATGAAATTGGAAATCATCATTCTCAGTAAACTATCGCAAGAACAAAAAACCAAACACCGCATATTCTCACTCATAGGTGGGAATTGAACAGTGAGATCACATGGACCCAGGAAGGGGAATATCACACTCTGGGGACTGTGGTGGGGTGGGGGGAGGGGGGAGGGATAGCATTAGGAGATATACCTAATGCTAGATGACGAGTTAGTGGGTGCAGCGCACGAGCATGGCACATGTATACATATGTAACTAACCTGCACAATATGCACATGTACCCTAAAACTTAAAGTATAATAAAAAATAATAATAATAATAATAATAAATAAAAACCAGGTTGTCACTGAAAAGTTAAGGAAGCATTTGGAAATTACTGTAAAGGAAAAAGAACACCTAACAAAGCTTTCAGTGTTGGCAGTGTTCTGTGCCCACCCTTTATGTATTTAGCAATTACTTTAGCTGAACCAGTTTGTTCATATAGAAGAACCAGTCAGAATGTCTCTGCCCTTCCCTTCCTCTAAGCACACACAATGGTCATCTCCTCCCTTTGCCTTTTCTTTTGACCATGACTAGCAGGTCCTCAGCTAGCTTACTTGTTATAGACTTGTTCACACAACTTTATAGCTCTGTTTCTGTCAGGCATATTTCTGTTTTATAGATGAAAACTTTTTCTTAATTTAAATTTCCCTTTTCCTGGAATTTATTCATGTGTTCTGAAATGCTGCTGTTATTGTAACTTACTGACTGTATTGTAAATTCATGGATTTTATCTGGGAGGATCTTGACTTTGATACTGAAGAGCTGATGCAAAATCTTAAACAGGCCGATGAAAAAGAGCTTGTCAAATAGATAAAGGAGCTTTCTTCTTTCTATATTCATCAGTAAAAAATGTTCTGTCTAGGATTTGCATAGATGACTCTTTTCAAAATCAGTTTTCACCTGAGGTCATTCAGGTACCTAAAAGGGAGGGGAGTATCTAAACAGTGACAAAGTTGTCAACAGGGCGTTGCATCAAGTTCTCTTACACACTTTCCTTTTTGCTATGAAAGCTGCTTTCTCAGAGCCATCCAGTTACTCTTGTCATATATGCAGTTTGAAGAAGTTTACTTCTGCCTCTTTTTTCTCACCTCTACCAAGGTAATGATGACCATTTAGAAGCCAAGGATTAATTTTGGGAATGGCTTAGTGTGGTGGAAATTTTTAAAAAAATTCTGCAGTGGCTTAAATAGTGCAAGTAGATTTCACTGTAGGGACTGATATAGCAGTTATAAGAGCCCACGGTTTGAAAGCAAGAGAAACTCTAAAAAAACAAAACAAAACAAACTGATGTCATTGGTGTCATTCGAAGGTTTACACATTTCTGTTCACTTGAGGTCTTTTTTGTAATTATGTTTTCACATATGTAGATACCTAGGAGTGGAATTGCTGGGTAACACTGTTTTCCAAAGTGGCTATACATTTTACAGTTCCTCCAGCAATATATGAGGGCTTCAGTTTTCCACACATTTTGCCAATACTTGGTATTTTTAATCTTTTTTTTAATGGCCGTTCTGGTGGGTGTGTATTGATAATGACCAATAATGTTAAGCTTTTTTTTACTGTTCATATTTGCCATTTGTTTATTTTCTTTGGTCAAGTGTCTGTTCAAACCTTTTGCCTATTAAAAAAATTTACTGTTTTTGTATTGAGTTATAAGAGTTCTTTATATATCCTGGATATAGGCCCTTTATTAGTTTATATAATTGGTAAATATTTTTTCCTAGTCTCTGACGTAGAGTCTTGTCTTTTAATTTTCTTGATGGTGTCTTTTGAAGAGGAAAAGTTTTTAATTTTGATGAAATCTAGTGTATCATGTTTTCTTTTATGGATCATACATTTGTTGTCATATATCTAAGGGATCTTTGCCTTAGCCAAGATCACAAAGATTTTCTCTTATGTTTTCTTGTAGATATTTCATAGTTTATTTTGTAAGTTTGTATCTGTGATCCATATTTGGGTTTATTTTTGTGTATGGTGTAAGCTAGGGTATAAGTTCATTTTTTGCATGTGGATATTTGCTTGTTCTGGTGCCATTTATTGACAAGTCTCTTAAAAGTTTTTTTTTTCTGTTAAACTGTATTACTGCAGTAAATAGTCTTACATATGCTGTGAACACACGCCTTCATTTTCTGACTGAATTGGGAGAAGAGGGAGGAAAGGAGTTTGTCTTGGGTCTTGGCCTTATTGTAGGGAGCTTTTCTATCATAGTTCACTTTGCTTTATTCTGCCCTTTAAGAAGATATTCACAGTCTTTGGGAACAACGAATAGAGTTCTGGTCAATTTGGCTTTAGTTAAGAAGGTGACTCTGTTATCCTCTCCCTAGGGATGATTATGAAATCTTATTTTGCACAGTTAGGGCTGGGTAAGCCTAGGATAGTACAAGCTATTGGACAGAACATTTGTTAAAAATATTTTTAGGCTGGGCGCGGTGGCTCATGCCTGTAATCCCAGCGCTTTGGGAGGCTGAGGTGGGCGGATCACGAGGTCAGGAGTTCGAGACCAGCCTGGCCAGCATGGTGAAACCCCGTCTCTACTAAAAATACAAAAATTAGCTGGGCATGGTGGCAGGTGCCTGTAATCCCAGCTACTCAGGAGGCTGAGGCAGGAGAATTGCTTGAACCCAGGAGGCGGAGGTTGCAGTGAGCCGAGATCGTGCCACTGCACTCCAGCCTGGGTGATAGAGCAAGATTCTGTCTCAAAAAAAAAAAAAAATATATATATATATAATATAAAATATACATATATAATATACATAATATATATTATATAATATATATAATATATATTATATTATATATAATATATATTATATTATATATAATATATATTATATATATATTTATTTCTAGCATGAGAATGATGAAACTCTTCTTAAAACATTTTATTTTCTTTTTCCAAATAGTTGTTTCTAACTATAAAACTAAAACATGTTTATTACAGAAACGTTTGGAAATTACCACAAGTATGAAGAAAAAACTTTCTTCCCCTATCATTGCCATCCTGATTTTGGCTCAGCAACACTTTTAATTTTGTGCAATTGAAATAGGGACTCTGGACCACTTAGTTTCTTGGAATAATTTTTGGATCTACTGAAGGATTCAGGCCTTTTAAAAAATATTTCTCTTGAGAAGGGAAAAGGATGGGAACTCACATTTGATGAGCATCTATTGTGAGCTAGGCCTTGTATCCCAGAAAGCTCTGTGAAGCATTAAAATTACATTAAAATAGCATGAAAAATTTGTTTCCTCTCTTCATCCTCCCTAACTCCCTGCTTTTTTTAGGCTTGGGTTAAATAATTTGCCCAGTGTCACTCAGCTAGTATGTGGTAGGTTTGAAAAGTTGGGGAAAACTTAAGTATCATTCAGTTAAAATTGTTAACCTGTGTCTTATTTCATGGTTTAAGAAAGATAGTTCTCCCCCCACCCCCCAACACAGTTTTCTGGCTTCTGTGGTCTTCCTTTTATTTTCTATCAGATTTAGAAGTCCCAAGATCCCCTTATGTCCTACTCAAATTAAGACTTGTTTCTCTTCTCCTTTCTGTATTGTGCTTTCAACTCTGAGGCCCTGTTTTAGCTTTGGTGTTTATTAGCTGAATAAAAAGATAAAGTGAGAGAGCTTAGAGTTTTAATAGGGAACATTTCTTGAATTGGATTGATTTCATCATCAATTTTACTTTCTTAAGTATTAACTAATTACTAGCTGTGGATTCCCAGGCAAGTCCACTCACTTTCTTCATCTGTAAAATGAACTACCTACTCAGCAAGGATCCTTCTGTGGTGTATCAGCATTCCTTATTATTATTATTTGTTTTTGTTAGTAGAACCATGAAATAAATTTCTGGCGATATGGGCACAGAGTATTTGCAGTTGTAACACAATGGTAAGTATCTATATCTAAACATAGAAAAGGTACAGTATAAATACAGCATTATAATCTTATGTGACCGACTGCTGTCTTATATGCGGTTCGTGGTTGACTGGAAAGTCATTTTGTGGTACATGACTGTATTTGCATTTGTGTCAGTGGGTAAAAAGCACTGGTTTCATGTAAAAAAAAAAAAGTGTGTGTGTGTGTGTGTGTGTGTAGGGTATTTGTGATTCTGGAGCCTGATTTTTCCTTCTTCATTTAGGAGGTATTTATGACTGTCAAGGCTACTTGACTGCCAGAACTTGCCATTGATGTGCTCACTTCATCAAATGGCATAGCTTATTCTAATCTGTTGTTTATTTTGTTGCCATAGTAACCTTTTTGAAAACAGAAAGGTGGTTGATATGTTTGTACAGGAATTCAGGGCCTTTCCCCTGATTGACATCTGCTGGCAGGAATTTTTATCCTAGTGATTCGGGCTAAGGCTTGGGGCTATAATGAGTACAAAGGGAGGTGGGATATTTGGACAGTTTGAAGCAGACTTCTTTATATTAATCCACTCTATTAATTGCTAAATTATTTTATTTAGTGATTTAGGGCTTTCCACTCGAGCCAGCTACTTGTTATATGAATTATATTTATTCCTGACAGGTGTTATGCTTGGGTTCAACATTTAGAACTCAGGCTAGAGTGGAGCACGTTGCTGCTACCTCAGGCTTATTCAGACAGACAAAATAGAAAACAATGAAAGGTGGCCCCTTCCAGATTTCACCTTAGTACATTTGGACTAGTGAACTAGGATGAGCAATAAAAGGTAGTTGAGGAGGTGTGGAAATGAAATCCTAAAGGCAATAAAAAGTAAAATGTTTTCACATCTCTTATTCTAGTGCCAGTGAACCTTTGACTTGGTTGCAGAACGAATCTACATGGGAGCAAGCAGTTGTTTAGAGTAAAATCTTTGCACAGATGTCTTTTCCCTTTTCACATGTTAGAAAAATTGGGAAGAAAATCTGTAAGTGAAATGCCAAAAAACTCAATGTAATCTTTTTAGAATGTCTAAGATGGACTACAGAATCAGTCTTAATCTTTTTCAGAAGACATGGCCACAGAGGCTTTTGTGGGAAGGGGATTGTAATTTAGTTAAAATTTAGTGAAGTCAACACCAGGACTCTAGCAGCCCTTCCTGGTGAATTAATTTTGTTCTTTGTGTCCTTAAGCTTTCCTTTTTGGACCTCTTACTTCCTGGAGGCTTTCTCTCCTAGCCCCTTTGCCTTTGGGTATTCTGTTACCACAAAAGGAGTTAACTCTTCATATGGTACAATCATCATAGCTGTTTTGAAATCTGTTTTTTAGCTGAGGGAATTAAGGCGGAAAGAAGTTGCAAAGGGGTCATGCATGTTGCTTTTCCATTTACTGTATTCTCTTAAAGTATATAATACTTTAAATGAACTGTTCCCTTCTTTTCCCTCACCTTCCATATGCTTATTCAGTCAAAAAGCCCTTATCCTCTGATCTCTGATAAGTACTGGGAAACTATCTGATCAAAAAAACCTATGATCAAAACAGTTCTTTGGAATGAATGTCCTTATCTGTGTTTAAAAGATGCTGGATAACTCTTGTGAACATTCAGTTAGTACAGTTTGTGGGCATTGTTTTGAGGCCCCTACAATACCAAAGAAAATGGTCAGCAACTTGGCACCTTACCACTGAAAGGGGCTTCATCTCTGAATTTGCATTTCGAGAGCTCACAGTGGGAGTTACAGGCTTTGATGGTATCACTGGTAGCCCAGAGAAAACTGACTGATATGTTCTAATTCTTGAGACAGGAAAGAAAACCCATACATCTTAGGATTTTTTGTAATCATTGATGCATAAATAATTTAGGCAGGAAATTTAGTTATTTAGGATGTTTTGTTTCCTGAAATGTTATTTAATTGTATTTTTCTACCCACTTGTCATATTATGGAAGTAGTTTATATGACAGCGTGCTCTTATGAGCAGTCATTTAATTACATCTTCCTTTGGACTTTCATAGCACTGTGACTTACCTTTATTATAGTACTTACTTACAAACTTGGAGAGAAAGATGCCAACTGTCTGTGAAAAAAATCAGTCTGTATTTAATTAAGGCACAAACAGAGCTAAAAATTAAGGCACAAACAGAGAGAGCTAAAAATTATTCATATTTTTCTCCTTGTAATGGCACTGTACTTGATGCTTCTATTTATTTTTAATTCTTAAGGTAATTTTATTTTTAATTTCTATGGATACATAATTGTACATTTTTATGGGGTACATGTGATATTTAATACAATCTACAATGTGTACTGATCAAATCAGGGTAATTGGGATATCCATCACCTCAAGCATTTAACATTTGTGTTGGGAACATTCTAAATCCCCCCCTTTGTTTAAAAATATACACTTTTTTCTATTTATTTTGATTTAGTTGTAGAAGTGCCATGGTTGGTGAGCAACTTGGTATTGCTAGAGTTGTGATGGCAGCAGGAAATAAAGGTATAGATAGTGATTTGGGACTAGGGAGTTTGGCTTTAATGTGAAGAAAGCAAGAAGTCCTTGGAAAGATTTGACCAGAGAATTGACACATACTATATTGAAGTTGTGGGGCAGTTGAACCTTGTGATAACGTGGAAGATAGTTATGCTTAGAGGCAAAGACAACAGCAGGGAATAGGTCCAGGAGTGAGGACAACGACTTGGGCAGCAGGGGTGGATAAGGAGACAGTGTGGAGGTAAACGAAATAGGATTTGTTGGGAGGCAATGTAGGCAGTGAAGGAGAAGGAAATGGTTTTATGAGAGCTTGAGGTGAGACCGTTAATGAGGATAAAGGACAACGAATGAGCATGTAGAAGATGGATTCAGTGCAGAACATCCAAGGGGACTAGGATGTCTAGCAGGCACTTGGCAATTAGGTTATGGAGCTTAGAAAAGACTTTAGGGCTAGAGACTCAAAGTTGAGAGTGGTTTGCCTATAAGCAATAGTTGAAACTGAGAGAATGGGATGGAAAGATATTTGTTGGATGCGAGGACAATCTGGAATTAGCTGGTCTGGCCAAGTAAACATGCCTTTTCGTCTTCCCCGCTTTGCCCAGCCCTTCTTTTTCTTTTTCTTTTTTTTTTTTTTTTTTGAGACAGAGTCTCGCTGTGTTGTCCAGGCTTTCCAGCCCTTCTTAAAGCTCTAGTCCAGGCTCTGATGAAGAGGATTGAATTTAAAATTCATCACACATTGTTAAACATTATATAAATAAATGGTGTGCTCTTAAAGGCAGCATAAATATCTGGGTTTCACCAAGGAAGGAATGGGAAAATGGGTTAAACTTAAAAAAGTGAATGTGTAGTCAGAAAATGACAGAGCTACTGATTTGCTTTTTAAAATAATAAATTTAGGCCGGGTGTGGCGGCTCACACCTGTAATCCCGGCACTTTGGGAGGCCGAGGCCAGGAGATCACAAGGTCAAGAGATTGAGACCATCCTGGCCAACATGATGAAACTCCATCTCTACCAAAAATACAAAAATTAGCTGGGCGTGGTGGTGCGCACCTGTAATCCCAGCTACTTGGGAGGCTGAGGCAGGAGAATCTCTTGAACCGGGGAGGTGGAGGTTGTAGTGAGCTGAGATTGCACCAGTGCATTCCAGCCTGGTGACAGAGTGAGATTCCATCTCAAAATAAATAAATAAATAAATCTGTTATTATTATTATTTTAAAATAAGAGTTCTTCAGCAAAATGGATAGGATATGGACCTGGATTTGATTTTTAACTCCTTTTTTAAAAAAAAATTTTATTTTAGGTTTGGGGATACATGTTAAGGTTTGCTACACAGATAAACACATGTCACGGGTGTTTGTTTTACATATTATTACATCACCCAGGTATTAAGTTCAGTACATAATAGTTATCTTTTCTGCTCCTCTCCCTCCTCCCCCACCCCCAAATAGACCCCAGTGTCTGTTGTTTCCTTCTTTGTGTTAGTAAGTTCTTATCATTTAGCTTCCACTTACAAGTGAGAACATGGCAGTATTTGATTTTCTGTTCTTGTGTTAATTTGCTGAGGATAATAGCCTCCAGCTTCATCCATGTTCCCAGAGAAGACATGATCTCATTCTTTTTAATGGCTATGTAATATTTCAAGATGTATATGTACCACATTTTCTTTATCCAGTCTGTCATTGATGGGCATTTATGTTGATTCCTTGTCTTTGCTGTTGTGAACAGTGCTGCAGTGAGCATTTGTGTGCATGTGTCTTTATGGTAGAATGATTTATAATCCTCTGGGTATATACTCAATAATGGGATTGCTGGGTTGAATGGTAGTTCTGCTTTTAGCTCTTTGAGGAATCGCTATACTGCTTTCCACAATGGTTGAACTAATTTACCAACTCACCAGCAGTGTATAAGGGTTCCTTTTCCCTGCAACCTTGCCAGCATCTGCTGTTTTTTTGACTTTTTAATAATAGCCATTCTGAGTTGTGTGAGTTGATGTCTTATTGTGGTTTTGATTTGCATTTCTCTAATGATCACTGATATTGAGCTTTTTTTTCATATGCTTGTTGGCTACATGTATGTCTTCTTTTGAGAAGTGTATGTTCATGTCATTTGCTCACTTTTTAATAGGGTTGTTTGTTTTTCTTTTGTAATTTAAGTTCCTTGTAGATGCTGGATATTAGACCTTTGTCACATGCATAGTTTGCAAATATTTTCTCCCATTCTGTAGATTGTCTACTCTGTTGACAGTTTGTTTTGCTGTGCAGAAGTTCTTAAGCTTAATTAGATCCCATTTATCAATTTTTCCTTTTTTTCGTGATTGCTTTTGGTGTCTTTGTCATGAAATCTTTGCCCGTTCCTAAGTCCAGGATGATATCACCTAGGTTATCTTCCAGGGTTTTTATAGATTTGGGTTTTACATTTAAGTCTTTAATCCATCTTGAGTTAATTTTTATACAGAATGTAAGGAAGGGGTCCAGCTTCAAACTTGTACATATGGTTAGCCTGTTATCCCAGCACCATTTATTGAATAGGGAGTCTTTTCCCTATTGCTTGTTTTTGTCACCTTTGTCAAAGATCAGATGGTCGTAGATGTGTGACCTTATTTCTGGGCTCTCTATTTTGTTCCATTGGTTTGTGTGCCTGTTTTGTACCAGTACCATGCTGTTTTGGTCACTGTAGCCTTTAGTATAGTTTGAAATTGAGTAACGTGATTCTTCCAGCTTTGTTCTTTTTGCTAAGGATTGCCTTGGCTATTCAGGCTTTTTTTTTTTTTTTCTGAAAAGAAAAAAGAAAACTTTTTTCCTCAGGTTCCATATAATTAAAAAAATTTTTTTTTCTAGTTCTGTGAAGAATGTCGTTGGTAGTTTAATAGAAATAACATTGGATCTGTAAATTGCTTTGGGCAGTATACCCATTTTAATGATATTGATTCTTCCTATCCATGAGCATGGATGTTTTTCCATTTGTTTGTGTCTTGTCTGATTTCTTTGAGCAGTATTTTATAATTCTTCTTGTATAGATCTTTCACCTCCCTGGTTAGCTGTATTCCTAGGTATTTTATTTTATGTTATTTTATGTTGTTTTATTTTATTTATGGCAGTTGTGAATGGGATTGCCTTTCTGATTTGGCTCTCGATTTGGTTGCTGTTGGTATATAGGAATGCTAGTGATTTTTGTACATTGATTTTTATATCCTGCAACTTTGCTGAAGTTGTTTATCAGCTGAAGGAGCTTTTGGGCCAAGACTATGGGGTTTTGTAGATACAGAATCATGTCATCTGCAAATAGAGATAGTTTGACTTCCTTTCTTCCTACTTGGGTGCCCTTTACTTCTTTCTCTTGCCTGATTGCTCTGGCTAGGATTTCCAATACTATGTTGAATAGAAGTGGTGAGAGAGGGCGTCTTTGTCTTGTACCGGTTTTCAAGGGGGAATGCTTTTGCCCATTCAGTATGATGTTGGCTGTGGATTTGTCATAGGTGGCTCTTACTATTTTGAGGTATGTTCCTTCAATACCTAGTTTATTGAGAGTTTTTAACCTAAAGCGATGTTGAGTTTTATCAAAAGCCTTTTCTGTATCTATTGAGATAATCATGTGGTTTTTATTAGTCTGTTTATGTGATGAATCACATTGATTGATTTTTGTATGTTGAACCAACTTGCAACTGGGGATGAAGCTTACTTGATCATGGTGGATTAGCTTTTTGATGTGCTGTTGGATTTGTTTTGCAAGTATTTTATTGAGGATTTTTGCACTGATATTCATCAAGGATATTGGCCTGAAGTTTTCTCTTTTTTTGTAGTATTTCTGCTAGGTTTTGGTATCAAGATGATGCTGGCCTCATAGAGTGAGTTGGGAGAAGTCCTTCCTCCTCAATTTTTTGTAATAGTTTCTGTAAGAATGGTACCAGCTCTTCTTTGTACATCTAGTAGAATTAGGCTGTGAATCCATCAGGTCCTAGGCCTTTTTTGGTTGGTATGCTTTTATTACTGATTCAATTTTGGAGCTCATTATTGGTCTGTTTAGGGAATAAATTTATTCCTTGCTCAGTCTGGGTGGGGGTGTATGTGTCCAGGAATTTATCCATCTCTTCTAGTTTTTCTAGTTTGTGTGGGTAGAGGTGTTTGTAGTAGTTTCTCATGATTGTTTTTATTTCTATGGAGTCAGTAGTAACATTCCCTGCGTCACTTCTAATTGTGTTTATTTGGATCTTCTCTCTTTTCTTCTTAATTAGTTTAGCGATCTTTTGAATGATTTTTCATGTCTTGATTTCCTTCAGTTCAGCTCTGATTTTTGTTATTTCTCTTCTTCTGCTAGCTTTGGGGTTGATTTGTTCTTCTCTAATTCTTTCAGTTGTGAGATTAGGTTGTTAATTTGAGATCTTTCTTTTTCGTGTGGGCATTTGGTGCTATGAATTTTCCTCTTAACACCACCTTAGCTGTGTCCCAGAGATTCTGTTATGTTGTATCTTTGTTCTCATTATTTTCAAATAACTTCTGGATTTCTGCCTTAATTTCATTATTTACCTAAAAGTCATTCAGGAGCATGTTCTTATTTTCCATGTAATTGGATGGTTTTGAGTGATTTTCATTGTGTTGACTCCTATTTTCATTGCGCTGTGGTCTGAGTGTGTGTTTGGTATGATTTGGTTTCTTTTACTTTTGTGAGGATTGTTTTATGTCCAATTATATGGTTGATTTTAGAGTATGTGCCATGTCGTGATGAGAAGAATGTATATTCTGTTGCTTTTGGTTGGAGACTTCTGTAAAAGGTCTGTCAGATCCATTTGGTTCAACGCTAAGTTTAGGTCCTGAATATCTTTGTTTATTTTCTGGCTCAGTCTGTCTAATACTGTCAGTGGAGTGTTGAAGTCTCCCACTATTATTGTGTGGGGAGTCCATGTCTCTTTGTAGGTCTCTAAGAACTTGCTTTATGACTCTGGGTGCTCCTCTGTTGGGTGCATATATATTTAAGATAGTTAGGTCTTCTTGTTGAATTGAACCCTTTACCATTATCCCATGCCCTTCCTTGTCTTTTTTGATCCTTGTTGGTTTGGAGTCTGTTTTGTTTGAAATTAGGATTGCAACCTTTTTTGTGTTTCCCATTGCTTGGTAGATTGTGTTTCCCATTTGCTTGGTAGATTTTTCTCCATCCCTTTATTTTGAGCCTAGGAGTTTCACTATGAGTGAGATGGGTCTCTTGAAGACAGCATACCATTGGGTCTTGCTTTTTTATCCTTGCCACTTTGTGCCTTTTAAGTGGGGGCATTTAGCCTGTTTACATTCAAGATTAGTAATGGTGTGTCTGGATTTGATCCTGTCATTGTGCTGTTAGCTGGTTATTATGTTGGCTTGTTTGTGTGGTTGATTTACAGTGATACTGGTGTCTGTGTTTAAGTGTGTTTTTGTATTAACTGGTAGCGGTCTTTCTTTTGTATATTTAGTGCTCCTTTCAAGATATCTTTTAAGGGCAGGTCTGGTGGTAATGAAGTCTCTCGACATTTGCTTTCCTGAAAAGGATCTTATTTCTCTTTTGCTTCGGAAGTTTAGTTTGGCTGGATATGAAATTCTTGAAGATTTTTTTAAAGAATGTTGAATATAGGCCCCCAGTCTCTTCTGGCTTGTAGGGTTTCTGCTGAGAGATCCACTGTTAGCCTGATGGGGATCCCTTTGCAGGTGACCTGCTCTTTTTCCCTAACTGCCTTTAACATTTATTCTTTAATTTTCATCTTGGAAAATCTGACAATTATGTGTCTTGAGGATAATCTTCATGTGTAGAATATTGCAGGAGTTCTTTGTATTTTCTGGATTTGACTGTTGGCCTCTCTAGCAAAGTTGGGAAAGTTTTTGTGGATGATACCCTGAAACATATTTTCTAAGTTGTTGGCGTTCTCCCCTTGCCTTTGAGGGATGCCAGTGATTTGTAGTTTTGTCCTCTTTACATAATTTCTCGGAGGTTTTGTTCATTCCTTTTTATTCTTTTGTCTTTATTTCCGTCTGTCTTATTTCAGAAAACAAGTCTTCAAGTTCTGAAATTCTTTCCTTAGCTTTGGTTTATTCTGCTGTTAATTCTTGTGATTGTATTGTGAAATTCTTGTAGTGTGATATTCAGCTCTGTCAGATCCCTTAGGGTTTTTTTTTTTTTTTAAATACTGGTTATTTCATCCTTCAGCTCCTGTATCACTTTATTATGATTCTTATTTTCCTTGGGTTGGGTTTTGTCATCATCCCGAATCTCAATGATCTTTGTTCCTATCCATATTCAGAATTATATTTCTGTCATTGCAGCCCATTTGGCCTGGTTAAGAACTGTTGTTGGAGAACTGGTACAGTCATTTGAAGGACATATGACACTCTGGCCATTTGAGTTACTAGAGTTCTTGTGTTGGTTATTTCTCGTCAGTGTGTGTGGGTATTACTTTAACTGCAGTGTAGATTGAGTATGGTCAATAGACTTCTTTACTGCATGTTTTCACTGAGTTGAGGTTTTGTGTAGGGTGTTTATTTGAAGCTGACTTCTTGTTTCTGGTTTCAGAGGGGAGGGTATGTCAGGTATCTTTGGTGTTAAAGCTTTGGGGTATGATCCAGCAGGTGGCTCTTAGGCTTATTGGACAGCTGGTGGACTAAACAGTTGTTCAGTTGTGTGGCTCCCCTATGTTTCCTCACAGTTGTAGCCATGTTCCCTCTCAGTGTCCTGAAAGTATGGGTTTCTCTGCCCCTTGAGTGCTGGCTGTAGTTCATGACATCCAGTACAGCTCTGGGGAGATCTCAGTATTTATGTTCCTCCCCCAGCTTACAGGCTGCAGAGGGAGAGATCTTATTAGTGGTTTTGGCCAAGGGTTGTTTGCTTGATTCCTGGGGGCTCCACCTCAGAGAGATGCAGGTGAGCAGTTGCTTAGTGCAGTCAGCCCAGGATGGAGGGTCAGTGCTGCGGGCCCAAGCCAGGGGTTGGTTCCCTGTCTGGTGATGAGCCGTCAGAGGTGTGTGGGACCTGTGGGAGATGGACTGGCCTCCTCTCCTTGAGTTTACTGCAGCTTGTTGGAGTGTGGATAAAGCACTTAATGTCTTTGCTCCTTCATCAGACCGAGGGTGGCAAGGGCAGTTCCACAGTAGAGTCAGTGGCCGAGAGGCTTTTAGTTGCCACTAGAGGCTCTGTCCAGGGAGTTGCTGAGTTGGTGCTAGCTGAGTAGCTCTGGTTGGGGGTGGCTGGAGCCCCAGGCTTGGAGGACCTGCCCTGTGAGGAGATATGGGATCAGCCACCCACGTAACAGTGGGGCCACTTTTCCCTAGGGCTGCTGTGGTATACTTGAGGCCTGCAGCAGTCCCTGGTCACCTCAGATTTTCCAGAATCTGGAGGTGTTACCAGTGAAGACTGTGAAACAGCAAAGATGGCTGCCTGTCCTTCCCTCTGGGAACTTTGTCCCAGGGAGGAATGACCTGTTGCTGGTCCAAAGGCACCTATAGGAAGTGGCTGGAGACTCCAGTTGGGAGGTCCCCCAGTGAGGAGGAGCAGGATCAGGACTGCTTAAAAAAGCAGTCTGGCCACATTTTGGTAGAGCATGTGTGCTGTGCTGGGGGTCCACTTCAGCCCTCGGTTGCCTCAGACACTCTGAAGCTCTAAGGCTGGAACAGCTGAGTCACCCAAACAGCAAAGATGGTAGCCACCCCTTCCTCCGGAAGCTTTGTTCCAGGGGAACTTCAGATCTCTGTTGGCTGGAGAGCTTGGGTGGGGGTGGCTGGAGGCCCAGGTTGGGAGGTCCTACCCAGTGAAGAGGAATGGGATTGGGCACCTGCTTAAAGCAACAGCCTGGCCACGTTTGGGTAGAGCAGCTGTGCTGTGCTGTGCTGGGGCATCCCTTCTGTTCTGGGTCAGCACAGATTCTCCAAAGCACAAAGGCTGGAATGGCAAAGATGGTGGCCCACCTCTTCCCCTAGGAGCTCCTTCTTAGGGAGGTGCAGTGCCACTACTGGCAGCTGGCTAGAATTCCAAGCCAGTGGGTCTTATCTTGTGGGCTGCCATGGAAGTGGGTCCTGTGGGCTCTTGCTGGTCAGTCCCCTGGATTCAGCCTCTTTCCTAGGGGTATTTACAGGAGTCTAACCTCCCACCCTGCTGGAGGTACAGCTACTTTTGCCAGAAAGCCCAAGTATCTAAGGCTCCAGGGTCTTCACGCATGCCAAGACTCCACATGGCTCTGTTGGTCAGACTGAAGACTGCAGGCCCTGGTGGAGTGGGTTCACAAGGCGATCTCTTAACCTGAAGTTTGCAAAGGTCTGTGGGAGAAGCATAGTTTCTGGGGATCGCTCATTCACTCACTGCTTCCCTGAGTCGGGGAGGAACCCCTGGCTCCGTGTTGCTCCCAGGTGCGCTGTTTTCCTGCCTTGCTTTTCTCTGTTCTCTGTGGGTCAAGTTGTTTCCTTGATTAATCCCAATGAGAGTACCTGGATGTTTCAGTTGAAGGTGTTGTATTTACTCACCCTTTCTGTTCCTCTCTGTGAGAGTCACACACACTAGCTGCCTCTAGTCGGCTCTGTTGGCCACTCCCTAGCCGTTTAAACTGTTTAAAAAAAAATCTTATCGTGATGTAATTCACATGCTATATAACTTACCCATTTAAAGTGTACAGTTATTTTAGTATATCCAGAGAGTTGTTCAACTGTCACTGTGATCAATTTTGAATCTTTTCATCACCCCAGAACGAGACTTTGCACACCTTAGTTGTTATCTTGACCCAAATTTCGTAACTGTTTTGAGTTACTCACTGAAGATCATTTGGTCTCTTAACAGGCAGCAAGAAATTGATCCAGATTATCTCCTTTCTCGATCTGTCGTCTTACTGACAGATTTTTAGGCACCAAAAATCACAATTCCTTTCTGTGTATGCTACTTTAAGATAGATTTCTTGTCTTCTGTGAGTTCATTTGGGAGTTTCAGTGAAGGACCTGGGTGTTTTGATGGAAGTACATGGTTTATGTGTATCCATATTAAATTTCATCTTGGTGTATTGGGCCTCTCATGTCTGTCCTTGGTACATCCTTTTAGCCTTTTAGGACTTCTGGATCTTCAGTCTGCCTTTTAATGTATTAATGTTCTTAGTGAACCTAATATGGTCTGTATATTTGATCATTTGATCATTAGATTTTTTTTTTAAGTCATTGGCAAATGTGTTAATTAGAATTAGGCAGAGTGGGAGTGGGGAAGAGTTGGCGTTGCCTGTACAAAATCTCGTTTCTTGTAGATATTTATGAATTACTCATTTTGCTTTGTTTACAGAACCATTATAGGGTTGAGGATGGCAACAGTGGGACACGAGGCATATTCTCCCCCTCCCACAGTGCTTCTCTAAATTCCTAGATTTCACCTAGAAGCACAGACAAAAGCATGAGCGGCGGGAGGGGAATTTTAGTCACACTCTTTATACTTATAGCCACCATGACGTCTCAACTCACATTTCTTCAGTTTGTTCACAGCAATAACATAGGGGATTTGGGCATAGGTTTTACTCAAATTCAGACACAGTGTTTTTAGTTTTCCTTAGTCTCTGTTACCAATCCCTTGGATGATAAAATTTATTTTAAAAAAAGAACTGTGGTGTGTCTTCTTGAAGGTATATGCTGAGCTTTTAGATTATTGCTTCCCTTTCAAAGGCGCACAGTCCATCCCTTTAACAATTTGTGTCTGACACCGAGATAAAACTCAATAGATTACAGATTGTTGAATCTAGCTTCTTACTGCAAACTACTGTAATCCCTTTGTAATCTTCCATCTGTTTTATTCTTAAATAATCTTCTTCTGGGACTTAGGATGTATCTCTTTCTAGCCTGGGACTAACTCCTTTAAGTCAGATAGTGTGACTTATTTATTCTATGTTATGTACCCTGAAGTTCATTCTCATTGATTGAAAAGGAGGACATAAAATAGAAAAAGCACTCTTTTATATACTTTCACACATCACCACTCTGAGCCTTAAGTCTTAGATCTTCCTTATTTGTCTTGCTGCAAACATAATTAGAAAATCAGAAAAGCTCTTTTTTGTAGTCCATGGCATTTTTCCAAGGTACAGTTCAGTTTTGGAGTAAAGAATCATACCCTTTCTGGCTTTCCACTCTAAACTTCTGCAAATTCATTCTTCTTCTTGTAAGCAAAATCAGAGGTGTTTAATTGTTTAGTCACTTGGATATATACACTGAACATTTTTAGTTAAACAGACCTTTCTGCTTTGAATTGAGGATGACTGTTAATAAGGTGTTAGAAATGAAAATCAATCCTGACTTCTTCTTCTTAATCAGAATCCAAATAATAAGGACTGCACTGCTGCAGTCTCTATGGGGACACCCACTGCTCTCACTTTTCTGTTTTCTTCTTTTTAAAAAATTTTATTTTTTAATTTAATTTTATTTTTTTACTGTTCCTTGCAGAGCAGGGCTACCCCAAAGGCAGTGTTCCCAGAGTAGCCCACTTTCTGTTTTTTTTTTTTTTTTTGAGACAGAGTCTTGCTCTGTCGCCCGGGCTGGAGTGCAGTGGCGCAATCTTGGCTCACTGCAAACTGTGGCCTCCCGGGTTCACACCATTCTTCTGCCTCAGCCTCCCGAGTAGCTGGGACTACAGGCGCCCGCCACCACGCTTGGCTAATTTTTTATATTTTTAGTAGAGATGGGGTTTCACCGTGTTAGCCAGGATGGTCTTGATCCACTTTCTATTTCCTTATAGCTCATGTTGACAGCTTTTCTCTCCAACATGGGTCTACTCATCTCATGTAAAATTATTACTATACGTTCTTGTTGAGATCATGAACCTTCTCTAAAAATTTCATGAGGTTGTGGATTTGGAGAAGTATTCCTCAGTCCATTCAATACAATAACAGTAATGACTATAGTTTATTATCTACTGTGAGTCAGGCACCAACTGTAGCGAGACATTCTAGTTACGTTTTCTTGTATACTTCCCCACAGTGTTACAAAGAGGACATGATCCCCTTTTTTCTGATCAGTAACTTGAACCTGTAAAGTGAAGGTTGAATGAATTGCCCCAGACCTCATAGAAATAATATATTCTGCATTTGTATTTTTAAATCAGTTTTTAAAAAGTAACACATCTAAAATAGTAAGAGGCATGTCTAAAATTCTAGTGTAGGTCTGTTTAACACCACAGTGAGTGCTGCTTTTTTTTGGTGATTGAGGGCCTACCGTAATATATCATTGTGGCAGCTTCTTTGGAAGATAAGAAATTATCCACCAGAAATAAAGAGGACACATTCTCTTTTAAGGAAAACACCATCTCGGCTTTTAAACACTTTTCTTTTTTAAAGGGTGAAGGAAGCCATGGAGATTTCTTAAGAAGAGAGACACTTCCTACCTTTCTTTTGGGAAGCACTGTACTGATTCTGTTCAGCAGTGTACAGAATTGGAGCCATAGTAGAAGGAGGTGGAGATTGGAGAGCGCCTAGCTCAGCACCCTTGGCGACTAGTTGTAGCCCTGACTCCTTGGAGTGATCTGTATGTCACTCTGTATTTGGACACAGCTGTTTCCTCGGGTTGCATGGTAACAAACCAAATAATTTGCCTTTAGGCTCTTTTGCTTACTATGTCTGTCATCTTTTACACAACTGAAGCCTTTGGTGGAGAAGGATTTTGAGTTGACTACATTGCTTAATTGTAATGACTATTCTGTTTGACCTTTCTAAGCCAGAGCTTCACGAAGAGAGATTTGAATGTTTGCTCCGTAGAAGTAGGTCTCTTCCAGGGGTGAGGCACTGTCTTAAAAAGTTATAAAGAGGCCGGGTGTGGTGGCTTATGCCTGTAATCCCAGCCCTTTGGGAGGCCAAGTCAGGTGGATCATGAGGTCACGAAATCGAGACCAGCCTGACCAACATGGTGAAACCCCGTCTCTACTAAAAATACAAAAATTAGCTGGGTGTGGTGGCGCCCGCCTGTAATCCCACCTACTCTAGAGGCTGAGGCAGGAGAATTGCTTGAACCCGGGAAGCAGAGGTTGCAGTGAGCCGAGATTGCGCCACTGCACTCCTGCCTGATGACAGAGCGAGACTCCATCTCAAAAAAAAAAAAAAAAGTTGAAAATACTAACTTTTAATTATCCCTTAAAAATAGATATTCCAGTTTTTCTGATTTTTAGTAATACATGTTTGTTACGGAAATTCTGAAATATGTAGACCTTAACTTATGGAAACTTTAGAATATAAAGTAGAAAAATGAAAATTACCCATAATTGTAATTTCTAGGAATAATCACTATGAACATTTGAGTCTTCCCCTTTCTTTTTTTCTCTTTTTTTGTATTTTTTGTTTTTTGTTTTTTTTTTTTTTTACTATATATGTATGGAGTGCAACACATCTGTATTTTAGTTATCACTTTACATTGATTAAGCATTTGTACATGCTATTAAGTTCCTCTCATAGCTCTAATTTATATATTAAAATAATCATTCTCCTAATGTTATATAGATTATTTCCAGATTTTAATAGTATAAATAAAATCCTTGTAGACACAGTTATTTGTAAATGTTTGATTTTTAATACCTAATACGTATTAGACAGATTTCTACTGCGTTGAAACTTAGGGTGATCATTTTGAATGGCAGTTTTTACAACTGAAGATTTTCCCTCCTGAAAACTTTATTTTAAGCATCTTGGATAAATGTTTCTTAAAAAACATTATATACTTTAATAAATTACTTAACAGCTTAAGTTTTCCGTGACAACTTGGTGCCATCATTAAATTATAAGCATCAATCTTACTGTGTTGCTGGAATAGTCTCCTCCTTAATGGCTTCTATCACTCCAGCCTTTCTTGTTCCTGTCTGGCTTCTTTCTAAATATTTGTTTTCCTTAGTGTGTTGCATTGAGTCATACTTTTCTGCATGTACTTGTCTAGACAGTTTCAACTACCTTCATGTCATAAACTATATCACTTTTGTGCGAATGATTCCCAAATCTACAGCTCTAACCAAGACTTTGCATGAACTTTAGATCCCTATATCCATCTTTCTGGTGCTCATTGTCACAAACTGTTATCCTTTGACTGTATCAAAGACACCTCAAAAGTAACACTAGAATTTAACTTGTATTCCCCTGAAATTACTACTTGCTCATCTACTTTTTCTTTCCTTCGTCTCACTCTGTCACCCAGGCTGGAGTGCAGTGGTGTGATCTTGGCTCACTGCAACCTCTGCCTTCCGGGTTCAAAAGATTATCCTGCCTCAGCCTCCGGCATAGCTGGAATTACAGGTGCCCGCCACCACGCCCGGCTAATTTTTTTTTTTTTTTTTTGTATTTTTAGTAGAGATGGGGTTTCATCATGTTGGCCAGGCTGGTTTTGAATGCCTCACCTCAAGTGATCTGCCCGCCTTGGCCTCCCAAAGTGATAGGATTACAAGCCTGAGCCACCACACCCAGCCTGCTTTTTCTTTTTTTTTTGAGATGGAGTCTCGCTCTGTCGCCCAGGCTGGAGTGCAGTGGTGCAATCTCAGCTCACTGCAAGCTCCGCCTCCCAGGTTCACACCATTCTGCTGCCTCAGCCTCCTGAGTAGCTGGGATTGCAGGTGACCGCCACAACGCCCAGCTAATTTTTTGTATTTTTAGTAGAGATGGGGTTTCACCGTGTTAGCCAGGATAGTCTCAATCTCCTGACCTTGTGATCCGCCTGCCTCAGCCTCCCAAAGTGCTGGGATTACAGGCGTGAGCCACTGTGCCTGGCCTAGCCTGCTTTTCCTTAACAGTACCATCATCTATCTAGTTAAGGTGAAAATCTTTCTAGACTCCTACTTAGTCTTCACTCTCAAGTATATTGGATCACTAAGTTCTAGCCATGCTACCTTTCAAATATTTCTCAAATTTGTTTTCTCCTCTTCATCCCTATTACTATTGCCCATATTTAGGTTCACTAGTTTTTATCAGGACAGCTGCAGTAGCCTCCCAAGTTCCTTTTCACAGACTTACCTTTTCAAATGTGTTTTCATATCAAGGGCAAAAATTGCTTTCTTGGGCATACATGTCATGCTATTTTAATGCTTACAGACTTTTAATGGCTTCCCATTGCACCTGGAGTCAAATTTAACTCCATATTAGTCTATAATTGTTTCTTTTTATCTTTCTGGCGTTTTCTCCTGCTCCTATCACACACACACTCACCAAGCTTTTGCTATCAAACTTCTAGCAGTTTTCTGACTATTGTGTGCAATTTTATGTGCATATGCATTTGTACAGGCTGTTTATTCTCCCTGGAAAGTACACAGCCCCCGATACAGCTCGCCCTGCATTTTACCCATCATTGTAATGCGTTCTTAGAAGATACAGTGGAAGTTCACTGGTGTGACATTATTCATGAACCCTGTCACCCCCAGCCTGGACAGAAATACCTTCCTTGCTCCATGTTTATTGAGCCATTTATGATACTTTCTGTGGTAGACAGGATAATGGCCCCCACAAAGTTGTCCATGTCCTTATCCTTGGAACCTATGAACATTTTACCTTATATGGCACAAGGTTCTCTCTGAAGATATAATTAAGATGAAAGGCCTTGAGATGTGGAGATCATCTTGGATTACCCAGATGGGCCAGTCTAATCATAGGAATCTTTAAAAGCAGAGAACCTTTCTTGCCTGTGGGCAGAGAGAGAGATGACAATTGAAGAAAGGTCAGATAAATTTGACTTTGCTGGCTCTGAAGATGGAGAAAGGGGCTGCATGCAGCCAAGAGATGCAAGTGCCCACTAGAAGCTGCAATAAAGGTCAGGGAGAAAGATTTTCCCATAGAGCCTCCTGAAAGGAATGTAGCTCAGATGGCACCTTGATTTTTAGCCCTGTGAGATCGATCTCAGATTTCTAACCTACAGAATGGGGGAACAGAGTTTTTTTTTTTGTTATTTTAAGTTACTAAGTTTGTGGTAGTTTATGACATCAATAGAAAATGAATATACTGTCATTGCATCTTCTCTGTCTTATCAAGTTATATAGCTAATTTCTTATTTTTCACTAGATATTAAGCTCTTTAAGGACAAGGACTGTATAATTTTATTTTATTTTATTTTATTTGAGACAGAGCCTCTCTCTGTCGCCCAGGCTGGAGTGCAGTGGCATGATCTTGGCTCACTGCAACCTCTGCCTGCAGGGTTCAAGCAATTCTCCTGCCTCAGCCTCCCAAGTAGCTGGGATTACAAGTGCCTGCTACCATGACTGGCTAATTTTTGTATTTTTAGTAGAGACGGGGTTTTGCCATGTTGGCCAGGCTGGTCTCAAACTCCTGACTTCAGGTGATCTGCCCGCCTCGGCCTCCCAGAGTGCTGGGATTACAGGTGTGAGCCACTGCGCCCGGCCCGTTATAATTTCATCTCTATCCTCAGAACTTTGCACAGTGCTAACACAGTGTTAACCCTGAAAAGTTTGAATGTGTGAATTAACTAATATAGTGTTATTTGTATCCTGATAATGTGTTCAGCAATCCTTGCTACATACCAAATCCCCCTATTTATTTTTTGGGTTACTGTTTTCACTTTTTAAATGGTGTGTTTTTTTTTGTTGTTGTTGTTGGGGGAGGGGTGCAGGGAAGTCTCTTTCCTTCTTGTTAACTTTTTTTCTTTCTGCTCCTATTTTCTTTAGCCATGGTGGTTCTTTTCCTGTTGATAGTTTGTTGCTTCAAATATGTCATTTGCACATGACAGTTTAAAGTAGAGTGACATTGTATCTAAGTCCCTTTTGGATAGAAGTTTTTGTAGTAAAGCTAAGATGTTGGGAGTTTATGTTTTCTCAGTGTGTCTTTACAGGCATGTACTTCCTTTCCCATAGAGAAATCTGAACAAGAATTTTAACTTTGGTAATTTTATTAAATGAAATAAAATTACTGATTTCGTCTATTTGTTAAACTTGCATTCCAGTGTAAATCTTATATGAATACCAGATTCACTTATCCTGCCTTAATTTGCCAACTATAAACCTGGATAAAGTACAAAAAAACAACTACATGAAGACACTAGAGAGTAACCAACAACAGTGGTTTCTGGAGGGCAGTTGGTATGTGGAAGACCAGCAGTCACTGGATGAGTTTCTTGTTTTTCATGGCTTCTCACCTGATAGCAGGCCTCATGTGACAGCTGGAAGTCCATAGGAAGCCTTCAGTGGTTATGACTTGTCCCATCAATCACAGTCATTGGAACATGAAGAAAGAGAGTGCCCTGCCAGGGGACATCCCTAATTCTGCATAGAAATTCTATGCAAATCACTGAACCATGCCCCATACCATCAGAATGGGGCATCCACACTAATGCTTAAAACTAAATAGAGATTGGTGCTGCCATCAAGAGACAGAAGTTTGCCATCTGAGTTTAGCTACCTGGTAAAACAAAACAAAAAGTCAGGATTCTTTGGAGGAATAGAAAAATCCAGAGTTGCCACAATGCCCAGGATACATCTAAAGTTACTCAAAATTTGAAGAAACCGGAAAGTGTGACCCATTCTCAAGAGACCAACTAATTAATGGAGATTGGATCCCAAGATGACCTACATGTTAAACTTAGCTGATAAGGATTTTAAAGCAGCTGTTATTACTATACTCATTTACACACAGGAAAATCTACTTAGAATCAAAGCTATGAAATCTGGCAGAGAAATAGAAACTGTAAAAAAATTTATTTGAAATAAAAATTTTGGCCGGGCGTGGTGGCTCACGCCTGTAATCCCAGCACTTTGGGAGGCCGAGGCGGGCGGATCACGAGGTCAGGAGATCGAGACCATCCCGGCTAAAATGATGAAACCCCGTCTCTACTAAAAATACAAAAAATTAGCCGGGCGTAGTGGCGGGCACCTGTAGTCCCAGCTACTTGGGAGGCTGAGGCAGGAGAATGGCGTGAACCCGGGAGGCGGAGCTTGCAGTGAGCCGAGATCCCGCCACTGCACTCCAGCCTGGGCGACAGAGCGAGACTCCGTCTCAAAAAAAAAAAAAAAAAAAAGAAATAAAAATTTTACAGGATAAGTTTAATAGCAAAACAGAGATGACAGAAAAAAATCATCGCACTGTAGTTCAGTAAGAATTACTGAATTTGAAGAACAGAGAGAAAAGGAGATTGAAACAAAATGAACAGAACCTGGAAAATGTGGGACAGTCTTTAAAAGGTCTATAATATGCATGTAATTGGAGTTCTAAAAAGAAGGGAGCATGGGAAAGAAAAAAATATTTGAACAAACAAGGGATGAACATTTTATAAATTTAATGTAGGAATTATGTAGAGATCGTTGCCGTTTGACAAATTAAAAGGATGCTTCTTTCACATTGAGCCTAAGAATAATTTAGGCTTGACTTTCTTCTCCCCAATGATCTGATTTATCAAGCCTGACTGATTTCAGTTGCTGTAGTGTTTCTTTCTGGGTCTTACAGATCCACACTGTTATGAGATCACTAGATTAAATTGCAGCCAGGACTAAATTGCACAAAATGGTAGAATATATGGATGGTGGTTTTTTGAAACATGCCAGGGCTGGTTTCTTTCGGAGATCTGTAGTGAACACTGGATCTTTTTGTGTGTGCTGCTTTTCCCTCTGCCCTTTTTCTTTGCTTTCCTTTCCTGCTACCCTCTTCTTGTTTCTGAGAAAGGGCAAAAAGGAGACTGAAGCATTTGAGCTAGACTGGCTACATCAAAGGCAGTGAGTTCTATTGATATCTGAGTCAGCTGCAACATAAAGCGACTACTGGGGAGGCTTTTGTTGGGTCTTTACTTTTTTTTTTTTTCCCCCTGGGTGATGTTGCTGGTGGCAGTGCTAGGAGTCAGTTGGTAATGAGTCCTTGCCAATGTGCCTTGATTGAAATTTGGAAGCCAGATTCCTGTGATTTTAACCATAACCTTTTTAGAAATGCATACTTGTATGCTCAACAGCCAGGTAGTATGTACTGCGGAAGCCATAATGATTGTTACAGTTTTGAATTACTGCTCCCGAGGCCCTGTTCCTACTTCTTTTTGTCCTAGTTGCTCTTGAACCACCCCGATGATCACTCTTCCCTTTCCCACACGGCGTCTATGATCCAACAACCAAAGGGTTAAAGTCTGGCATGCCTTCCTCTTTTCTGTTTTATCTGACTGGCGACTTTCCTCTTCATAAATACTGAAATATCTCCCTTCCCTGTCCCTGTTGTGCCTGTGCCCATCCTTGTGTGTGCTCTAGTATGTGTTAAAAATAGTTGTTAGAAGTCCAGTTACAGATTTTGGAAGGTAATACAGTCTAGAATTTAAAAAAATGAGCTTTGGATTTAGGTTGACTCCAGAGTTTATAACTTTTGAGCAGTGTCCTTAAACAAGTTCTTTGAGCCCTATTGTCCATTTTCTTGTAGAATATGGATAATATCTATTCCTGAGTTTTGAAACTTAATCTGTATGATAAGCCTTCCACATTCATATTTATTCCTTTGATTTCATTTTGGTTTTATCATAGCCAGTTATCCTAGGTCATTTCTAACTCTCTAGTTTTTGTATAATTATTCTGTTTTAAGGAATTAATTTCAAAGAGGGAGGTTAGAACTGGTAGGTTCTTGTTCATCTGTCTTTACCAAAGAGAAGTCTGAGGCTCAGAGTTAAATTGAGCTGCTCAAGCTTATATAACTCGGAAGCAGTGTAACTAGAATTTAACCTCAGGCAGTCTGATACCAGAGTCAGGACTATTAACAAATTTGTATCAACATCTCTCTAACAATAAGGTTATGTCGGTTTAGAATTTTCAATTGCTTACCCCGTCCCTTTTTCTTCTTTTACTAGTTCTTTAATTTCTAAGGATAGGTTAATGATGAAACCAGAGACTAAACTGTAGTTTTCTCCTAAACCTGCTTGTAATTACCTTTATTGATCTTTAGGCATTAATTACTTTTTTTATTTTTTTGAGATGGAGCCTTGCTCTGTCGCCCAGGCTGGAGTGCAGTGGCACGATCTCGGCTCACTGCAAGCTCCGCCTCCTGGGTTCATGCCATACTCCTGCCTCAGCCTCCTGAGTAGCTGGGACTACAGGCGCCCACCACCACGCCTGGCTAATTTTTTTTTTTTTTTGTATTTTTTTTTAGTAGAGACGGGGTTTCATGTGTTAGCCAGGATGGTCTCGATCTCCTGACCTTGTGATCCGCCTGCCTCAGCCTCCCAAAGTGCTGGGATTACAGGCGTGAGCCACCACGCCCGGCCAGGCATTAATTACTTTTTAACCTTGCTGTATATATCTGTTCTTTAGTAGGCTAGAGATCTTTTAAAGGCAAATATTTGGATCTTAGTCATTTTTAAAAAAAATTTTATTATTATTATACTTTAAGTTTTAGGGTACATGTGCACAATGTGCAGGTTAGTTACATATGTATACATGTGCCATGCTGGTGTGCCGCACCCATTAACTCGTCATTTAGCATTAGGTATATCTCCTAATGCTATCCCTCCCCCCTCCCCCCACCCCACAACAGTCACCAGAGTGTGATGTTCCCCTTCCTGTGTCCATGTGTTCTCATTGTTCAGTTCCCACCTATGAGTGAGAACATGCGGTGTTTGGTTTTTTTGTCCTTGTGATAGTTTACTGAGAATGATGATTTCCAATTTCATCCATGTCCCTACAAAGGACATGAACTTATCATTTTTTATGGCCGCATAGTATTCTATGGTGTATATGTGCCACATTTTCTTAATCCAGTCTATCATTGTTGGACATTTCGGTTGGTTCCAAGTCTTTGCTATTGTGAATAGTGCCGCAATAAACATACGTGTGCATGTGTCTTTATAGCAGCATGATTTATAGTCCTTTGGGTATATACCCAGTAATGGGATGGCTGGGTCAAATGGTATTTCTAGTTCTAGATCCCTGAGGAATCGCCACACTGACTTCCACAATGGTTGAACTAGTTTACAGTCCCACCAACAGTGTAAAAGTGTTCCTATTTCTCCACATCCTCTCCAGCACCTGTTGTTTCCTGACTTTTTAATGGTTGCCTTTCTAACTGGTGTGAGATGGTATCTCATTGTGGTTCTGATTTGCATTTCTCTGATGGCCAGTGATGGTGAGCATTTTTTCATGTGTTTTTTGGCTGCAAAAATGTCTTCTTTTGAGAAGTGTCTGTTCATGTCCTTTGCCCACTTTTTGATGGGGTTGTTTGTTTTTTTCTTGTAAATTTGTTTGAGTTCATTGTAGATTCTGGATATTAGCCCTTTGTCAGATGACTAGGTTGTGAAAATTTTCTCCCATTTTGTAGGTTGCCTGTTCACTCTGATGGTAGTTTCTTTTGCTGTACAGAAGCTCTTTAGTTTAATTAGATCCCATTTGTCAATTTTGGCTTTTGTTGCCATTGCTTTTGGTGTTTTGGACATGAAGTCCTTGCCCATGCCTATGTCCTGAATGGTAATGCCTAGGTTTTCTTCTAGGGTTTTTATGGTTTTAGGTCTAACATGTAAGTCTTTAATCCATCTTGAATTAATTTTCGTATAAGGTGTAAGGAAGGGATCCAGTTTCAGCTTTCTACATATGGCTAGCCAGTTTTCCCAGCACCATTTATTAAATAGGGAAGGATCTTAGTCATTTTTGAATCCTTTGGCAGATTCAGTTTTGTATCCCTCTTCCCATTTGTACTGTCTAGCACTGCATCTTATTCATCATAATGGGCACACAGTACTTTTTATTGGTGACAGTGATGACTTGAATAAAACCTTTGAAACACCAGAATAAGCTTTTAAATTTTTGCTCAGTTGTTAAGCTTTGGAATCTTGGAATTAAGAGAAACTTAAAGATCCTTTGATCTTTTTCCTGGTTAATCTTCTTTAATTTTTGTCCACTGCTATTTTTACAACATGATTTTTATTTTGTTTACCATCCCTTCACTTTGTTCCCAACCTTTTAAAAATTTTATCTGTGTCTGTCTTGGTGGGTTCCCAGCATGGACCATTATATCCTAGGTTTGTTAAGTAAATAGTAATTTGGAATCACTCATTACCTTCTCTGCATTGGATACTACATCTATTATTGTATTAACTACACACACACACACACACACACACACGTATGTAACTCAATCATCCGTGTATTAGTGCACACCAACAATCTTGGCACCCATTTTATACTGTTGATTATTCATTTGTGAACACTATAGTATATTTTACAAGTGCTTCTGTGCTTTTCTACCTTTATTTGATGTAGTTGATTCTAAATATAGACCTTGCATATATGTATATTCAGTACTTGGTACATGGTAGGTACTCAATAAATGTTTGAGTGATTGTGATTTTGAACTTGCCTACTTTGCGAGCCCTCCTTCCCACCTTTCCGCTTCACAGCATCCTCATATTACCTTGTGATCTGTTCCTACTGGGCCACCATTAATTGTTCCTTTAAAGAGCCATGAGTTATTTGTGTCTCTGTGAACATACACACAGTTTTATCCATCTAGAATGACTTCTCTGTCATCCCTAATGTATTGTCAGGCTTTTTTCATTCTTTCAACTTCTGAGATTGAGATCAGATTACCTCTCTGCAGCCTTCCTGACCATCCTTTCTTTCCTAGGTAGAATTGGCCACTCCCTTGTGTCTTCCTTGTTTTCATATCTGTTTCTCTTGGAACATATCTACTTTGAAGGAAAAGACTGTATTTTTACTGTTCTATCTGCAGTACCGAACACAATATGCCTAGTAATAACTGCTTACTGAATTTTGGCGAATGAGTGAATAACTAAAATAATAATGGGACATTTCAGGGGTTGATATTTCGGCCTGCAATCTTTTCGGCTCTGTTATCCAACCTGTTGCCCATTAGATCCAGCAAGTTTGGTCAGGGTGTGCTCTCTGTCCTCATCCAGCTTACTGACTCAAGTGTTGACGGAGGCAGAGTTGAGGAGGACATTTTTGATGCCTGATTTCTGATATGTTCAAGTACTCAAATTTGCACATTTTAATTTCTTTGTATTTTTGTCTCAATAATGTGAAAGAACAACAAAACTTCAAAATGTTGTGTGAGTAGGTGGTTCTTAAACTCTTTCTTGGGTGAATGAATATTATAAGACTATGTTGGAAAAGCATTCTTATATTTCTCAGGGTAAAGGAACTTTTGAGGTATTCTATGAAGACTTATTAAGGCTGCAAGAAGCTGAAATTGGGAAGCCTGTCTGTTTTTCTAGTCTGGCCCTCAATTTGCATTACATCTTTGAAATAGCCTGAGTATACTGTCTTATGGTTGATGCCCCTTTTAGACGGTCAGAGTCTTAGCCCTTCTAGAGGTATATTGAGATTGGAAAATCACACTGTGTTATGACTTTTCGTGGTTTTAGTAGTTGTCCTCTAAGTTTGGACTATTTAAAATCTCTAGTAGCAGATGAGAGGTAATAACTCTTTGGAAACAGACTGAGATAAAATTAAGTTTTGGTAAAATCAGTCGTGATTTGTAGCTTGGAAGAATAGGCATATTAGCATTTTAACAATATAGCTTTGATGCTTTAAAGAACACCAGGCTACTAAAGAGATGTCTTGGTTCTCTCAGATGAGTTCTGTTGTATCACTTTCAGATATTTTGTTCTTTATCCAAGCAAAGCACAACAAGTAGTTTCTAATATGAACTGGATTTGTAGAATTTTGTATGAAGTCTGACTTAAAATATAATTAAATTAACATTTGGGGAATGAGTTTAGTCTTTACTAATTTTTTTAGGTCAGAGAGCATAACTTCTGTGAAGCTGCCCCCATTTCACCCTTCATGCTTCACAAATACTTGTAGAATATTTTCATTGCCTTGCAATTAGGAGTTTACATACAGGTCTCTCCTAACAGATTGAGAGCTCCTTGAGGGCTGTGACTACCAGTTGATCTGGCCCTTATTAGGTGTGTAAATTTTTTTTTTTTTTTAATCAGACTTTTGCTCTTGTCACCCAGGCTGGAGTGCAATGGCGTGATCTCAGCTCACTGCAGCCTCTGCCTCCTGGGTTCAAGCAATTCTCCTGCCTCGGCCTCCCCAGTAGCTTGGACTACAGGCGTGCACCACCACGCCCAGCTAATTTTTGTATTATTAGTAGAGATGGAATTTCACCATGTCAGCCAGGCTGGTCTTGAACTCCTGACCTCAGGTGATCCACCCGCCTTGGCCTCCCAAAGTGCTGGGATTACAGGCGTGAGCCACCGCACCAGGCCAGGTGTGTAAATGTTTAAGAGGATAAATGAGAGATGTCATGTGCGGATATATGTCCTATTGCAACCAGAAAGTGCCTCTATTAATAAGGAACTGCATATAATAGTGCCTTCTAGAATAGATAGACCTGAGGTTAGGGCTGTAGTTGCTATGTACAGTGGATATTACTATTGGGTGTTCCTGTCAGCAGGATTACCTCTTTCCAGGTAGTTCCAGATTGTGACAAATGGATTAATCTGGTAAAGACAGGTGCTGTTTTAGGTATAAAGTTTAGCATTGATCCCTAAGTTTACTTCTGGAATAGCTGCTCATCTGGAGTCATCATTTGCAGGCCATTTCTGGTGGACCCACCAGCTGCAAGATACAGATTTATTATTTGACCTGTTTTCCTCCAGTGCAAGGATACTGTGACTGTTAAGCAGCATGCATTAAATAACTAACTCATCTGTTAATAAGTGTGCACATAGACTTTGGCCAGAACACATTAGACCCCTGAACAGAGAATCTTAAAATACTAATGCATTTATTTTAGGTGGCAAAGAACTAGATTAGTCAACTAAAAGCACATGAAAACTGTCAACTCCAGTTTTACAATCTACATGCCATGTCGATACAGAACTTGTGATAATGTGAATGGCATTTTTAGCAGAGAATTGTAGTATTTAAAGACAAAAGTTCATGAGTGTTCTGAAATAATGGTACTTTTTCTCAACCTCTCGCTACATGGGAAAGGCAGCCTTCAATAATCTCTCTTCCAAGTAACATATAGGGCAGTACTAAAGAAAACTGAATCAGCTGGTTGTGATGGCTCACGCCGGTAATCCCAGCACTTTGGGAGGCCAAAGTGGGTGGATCACCTGAGGTCAGGAGTTCGAGACCAGCCTGGCCAACACGGTGAAACCCTGTCTCTACAAAAAATACAAAAAATTAGCCGGGCATTGTGGTGGGCACCTGTAATCCCAGCTACTCGGGAGGCTGAGGCACAAGAATCACTTGAACCCAGAAGGCGGAGGTTGTAGTGAGCCGAGACCTCGCCATTGCACTCCAGCCTGGGTGACAAGAGCGAAACTCTGTCTCAAAAAACCAAACCAAACCAAACCAAAACAAAACAGAATCTGCATTCCCAAGAGTCCATAGTAGAGGAGGAAGAACTGCCAGTGCCTTTTTAAAACGCCAGTTTATAAGAGTTGTGCCTGATTCTGTTTCGATGCTAATAAAGGTAATTCACTTTCAACTCAGACATACTGCTTTATAAAACAAACATGTTTAAAACAGTAGCATTAAAACATTATAGTTTGTTTTATAGAGGAATAATCTGACACCTAGAGAGATTACGTGGTTTGTACAAGGTTCTTTCAAATTCTTAACTAGTTTAGAGGCTCACGATCGGTCTTTTTAAAGTAGCTTTTCCCTTTCCAAAATAGCTTTTCTTATCCCTCCTTGCCTTTCATTTTGTAACTTTATAATAAAGTCAGTATGCCCTAATCACTTTCTTTTGTTTGAAGTAGCCAGCATGCATCTGACAGACATGCAGTTAGACAAAGGCTCAGTGCTTTAAGCATTGACAGTGAAGAGAGTTCAGTGATTTTATGTTACTTTGGAGATGTGGGGAGAAACAGAGATGCAGTATCTCAGGAACATTCAATTTTATGCTTTCTCTGAGCTATAACATCATGACTGCAGTTGGTTAAGTTTCAGTGTAATTTTAGTCATTCTTATCCTTATTATCTATTCACTTTGTAGCGCTTTTAAACAAACATCTGGCACTATCTTAGTTACCTAGTTTTATGTACTTTCCACGTCCCTTGTGACTTCATGCTGGCCTCTTGTTGCCAGCCTGTTACTGCCCTCATTGTGGAGGAAGCTGAGATTTTCTACCAGGCTCAGCCATGGAATAGTGACAATTGGTGTTCAACACAATGACACAAAGCATTACAGCATTATAAAGAACTGTTGAATTGTTTGAAGATATTTTTTAAAAGTTTAAAAATCTGCCTTATTGGCTGGGCGCGGTGGCTCACGTCTGTAATCCCAGCACTTTGGGAGGCCGAGGCAGGCAGATCACAAGGTCAGGAGATCGAGACCATCCTGGCTAACATGGTGAAACCCTGTCTCTACTAAAAATACAAAAAATTAGCCGGGTGTGGTGGCAGGTGCCTGTAGTCCCAGCTACTCCGGAGGCTGAGGCAGGAGAATGGCATGAACCCAAGAGGCGGAGCTTGCAGTGAGCTGAGATGGTGCCACTACACTCCAGCCTGGGCGACAGAGTGAGACTCCGTCTCAAAAAACAAACAAACAAACAAACAAAAAACTGCTTTATTTAGGGTATAATTTAAACACAATAAAATTCACCCATTTTAAGTGCTTAGGTCAGTTGGTTCTGATAACTGCGTACGTAACCACCACCACAATCAGCAAATAGAACATTCCTATCACTCCCAGGTTTCTTGTCCTTTTGTAATCGCCTCCCCCCATCCCTGGGTCCAGGCAAGCACTGGTTTACATTGTGTCACTACTTTTGCCTTTTCTAGAATTGCATAAGAATGGGATCGCATAATAGGTAATATAAGTCTTTGAACTTATACTAGCTCTGTTTATTTTTTCAAACTGATTTGAATATTTTAAGTCATTTGCATTTCCATGTGTTTTTGAATCAGCTTGCCTTATGAAAGACTACTGGTGTTTTTATTAGAAATGCATTAAATTTGTAGATCAGTTTGGGGGAAAGTTGACATTTAATGATATTAAGCTAATATATTTACCATGTATCTCTCTATTTTAAAAGATCTTTAGTTTTGTATTTTTTTAAGCAAGTTTTTCGGTCTTCAGTATACAGGCCTTACACATTTCATTAAATTTGTCCTTAAGTATTTCATGGTTTTTTATGCTGTTACAATTATTTGAAATTTCAACTTGTAATTGTTTAACAATGCTATGGTGAAGAATTGGTTAGATTAGATCTGAGTTTAAAGTCATATACTAGGTTAAAAAAAAAACAAAAAACAAAGCAGGAAGCTGGTGCAGTGGTGCCCACCTGTAGTCCCAAGTACTCGGGAGGCTGAGGCAGGAGGATCACTTGAGCCCAGGAGTTGGAGTCTAGCCTGGTCAATATAGTAAGACCCATCTCTTAAAAAAAAAAAAAAACAAAGACAACAACTCAACAAATTTTCAACAAGTTATTGCCAGTCTAAATTGGGGTAATATAACACTCGTTCTGGATTTAGAAATAAAACATTTAAGAGAAGCTTCAGTGTTCATTCCCTGAATTTCAACTTTTCTGAACTCTTTTTGACATTTTAAAAAATGTAGACAAAGGATCTTGCTACGTTGCCCAGGCTGGCCTCAAACTTCTCAAGGGAGGAGATGCTCAAGCAATCCTCTCCCCTTAGCCTCCCAGGTAGTTGAGACTATAGGTGTGCACCACCACACCTAGCTTTGAACTCCTCTTAGTAGGAAACTCTTAGAGGATTTACATATTAAGAACTTCTCATATAGGGGAGGAATAAAATTAATTTCCCCACTTGAACTAAGATAATAAAAAATAAGGTTGTCATGAAAAATACAGACCTGGTGCTTTAAAACATTTTAGCATTTGTAGCTGTGTATGAAAAGATAAATAGCACTTATATAACAGAAATGCATAATGATAAACTGTTGTTTCTAGTAAATGTGGAAACAGGCCATATTACTATGTATGTGACACTTTAAATATTTAATATATGTGACATATACACAAGAATATAGCTAGAGAAACAGCTAGACATCTGCTAAATAGTACCCTTTCCTTTAAAATTACTACACTTCAAAAATTCAAAAAATACACATAGGTGTTTCATAAAATCACTGTTGTAACAGAATGACCCACGTGCTAATAATTTGGTCATAATAAGCACATAAGGAGCACAACTGGCTACTTTCCCTGAAAACTGTTACAGTCAAAAAGTAAATTAATTTAGGGAAAAAAGACTGAAGATTTCAAGGTACGGGGTCCTAAAAGTAAAGCTACTGCTTTGCAGGTTTTGTTAACTGGGCGCGGGTGTGGGGGTGGGAGTAAAGAGTAGGGATGTAGGCTTACAGACCCAGGTTGTCAGGAGAGCAATTTGATGTGGAAGGCACAAGTAAGAGAAGATGTAAACCACGCAAACAAAAAGTATTTGAAAGGGAAATAATTCAATTCAGCAAATATTTGAGTGCATACTCTGGACCGAGATTATAGATAGAATGAACTATAAAAAGTCCAAATAAACCCTCCAGAGAATGCTGAGACCTTGGCTTTCTGATTCTCCACATAAGTTAAATAGGCCCCACAGGAGGCCCCCACTGCAACACGCAGTTGGTTCAGTGCTAGATTAGTCATCGTTAGAAGATGGCCAGAATTCAGACTGATCTGAAAAACCAAAGAACTCAGGTTGCTTCAAAAACCCAGAGACAGCCAAAGCTCAGAATCAACTAAACATCCCATGTCAACTGAAGAATGATGGACTGCTTTGGTCATAGTAAGAGGGTCATGAGAGGGGAGGGAGGTGAAGCCCAACCTCTTGCTAGCCAGGGGCCTCCCTCCTCTGTAGAAAACAGAGTTAATAACCACTCGCCTGAGAGGCCTGTGGTAGGTCAAATGAGATGCCATCTGTGCAGCAATTTAGTGCACAGGAGATGTTCTGTAAACTTCATCTTTCACTGACACTAATCCAGTAAACAGGCATACCTGACTTGGGATAAGCAACAAGAAAAAAATGATAATGGGAAGCAATGAGGAAATAAAATCCTCACTTCTTACTTGAACAGCAGAATCCTTAAGAAATACAGCCCACTCAACTACTAGTTTGAAAGTTTAAAGTCTCTGTGATATCAGTTCTTTCTCTAGGTGACTTACATAGGATGAAAAAAGTGTTCCCAACTGTAAACATGGGTTTCTGTATCAAACATGTGGCTGACTCTCCATCAGCAGGAGTAGCAGTGGTTAAAAAACACAAGCTAACATGTTCTCAGCTCTTCCTCCAAGAGGTAAAAGCTCATAAGCCCATTATTTTCGTAGTTTAAAACATATATTCCTGATTCCTTTCTTTCCCTCTGCCCCACTCCCCAAATGCTGTCTTTAAATAGTCAGATTCTCTGCTAAAAATGCCATTCATGTTGTCACAAGTTCTGTATTGACCTGGCATCAGTGTTGATAATTAATTTTCATGTGCTTTTAGTTGGCTAACCTAGTTCTTTGCCACATAAAATAAATGCATTAGTATTTTCAGAAATATCCTTGCTTGGTGTATAAGAGCAAGAATGACTGTCTAAGGGATTACTCATGTCAGGAATGTTTTATGATTAGAAATTCCCCATTAGAAATAAAATTTTTCATTGAAGCGATTAACATTAACAAAATCTTTAATAGGGGACTGCTTAGAATATTGAAGTTTTCCTCATATCTGTAGAATTTTCACTTAATTATGACATATACAAGTTTTTAATTTGAAGTCTTCATTGTTTAAAACTTTTCCTTCCAATTTTGATAGGTGGTTTAACAAAAACCTACCACCTTGTGTTTCCAGTGTCATTGTTCTCAAGATGTTAAAGGCTTAGTATTGTGAAATTATAACATTGAAGACAATATTTATTCTCAAGACAAGAACCAGTCTAATAATTAACAAGGTAACTGACATTTTTAACGTCTCTGATCCCCTCTGACACTTGTGTGACTCGTTCGATAGTCACATAACGTGTGTGAGAAGGTGGGCCGTGCCTGCCTTGGAAATCATTCCTAACAGGTCTCGCATTTGTCCAGGTAAGGTCATCCAGCTCAGTAATGTCCTCATTTGTGTGAGAGCCTACCTGCCTATATTTAGTCTTTCCAGGTGGTTTATAATTGGTTTAGCCCATTGGACAGCCTGCTTTTTGGTTGATAGAGGCTGGGGAGGATGAAGGAAGTGTAAAGGCTTGAATTTGGCAGTCTCTTTGCCGGATATCTATTTTAACCCCTCCTGAAGTTAATTTACATAAAACCCAGCTGTGTAAGAATTTTTCTAAATTTAAAGTTTATTCTTATTACCGTAGGGATAGGAATGTCAGCACTCACTGAATTATGGCCTTCCTCTCCTGTGTCTGGACCTCCTGGCAGCTTATGGTTCCCGTTTCCTTTGGATAACAGGATACAGCTGGTGGCAAAATTCTCACCTGTGGAATGGCCATTGGGAGTTTTCTTCTCCATATAGATCTTTGCAAAGCAGCAGAAACCATTTTTGCAGGAAACCACAAGCCTGTGTTAAACACCAAAAGAGAATTGAAATAACATGTCCATGAGTTCCTCTTTCCAGAGGTACCAACCATCATGTGGGATCCTAAGTATAGTGTTAAGTAGCTCTTTGTCCTCCCCTTCACTTTGAGGTTGTCTAGTTATATGATGTTGAATTCCCCAGCTCTGGTCCCTATTACCTCTCTGGCAGATTAAGCAAATTGCTTCAGGCTGGATTGCTTAACACTTAGCAGAATTCATGCTGCCTTTAATGAGCTACCAGTTTAACCTTCTGGGGCTAGAGTGATTTTTAGACATTTTTGTTTTGATGAGTTGATTTTTGTACTTATAGCTATAACTGTGGATCCCTTGCCATCAAACTATGGTGCAGCAAAGCAGCTGATGAATTTCTCTGTCTCTGATGTTCATGTCAAACAGTTATTTCTCTAGCATTCATTGGGGGCTCAGTACTGTGCCAGGTGCTGTGGCATGAGCAGTAGTGGTGTGGAGGGTGCTACAGGAGACATCTGCAATGCAGTAGACTAGATTAAAAACAAGTTGGGGAGAGAAGGCAAGCACAAAAATAAAAGAAAAATAGAAGATAGTATTTGACTTACTGCTGATAGTGTGGGTTAGATTATCAGTGATAATCCTATTAAAATCAGCAAGGGTGGAGGGCATGAACATGAGCAAAGACTTGAGGACTGGACTGAGCATGGTGCATGCATGTGAGGTATGCAGGGACTGGATGGAAGGTGTGGTATGGAAGAAAAGAGTGCTCAGTAAGGCTTTATAGATAATGAGGGACCCTGAACACTCTTTGGAGGCACCAGAGGGGTAGTGGGGGCATGGTGGATGGCTTCTGAGAGCTCACCAATGATAAATGGTATGTTTAATAGAGTACCTTATCTGTTGGAATGTATATTTTCCTCACCATCACCTTTTATTTAGAATTAGGGATCGACACAGTGATGAGGATGTCCTGAGAGATGTGGTAGCTGAATGTGATAGAAGGTTAGTGCTGAAAGGCTATCATGTAATTCATAACAGGCAAGAAGAATAGGAGCTTACTTTATTATTTTCTTATTGCCTACCACTGTGTTAAACCTTTAACTACACATCTTTAATTTTATGTATTCTCATTTTACAGATGAGGAAAATAAAGCTTGGTAGTTAAGTAACTTGTCCAAGGTAACACAGCCAGTAAGTGCCACATTTACAACTCAATTCTAGGTCTTTTTGTCTCTGTCTCTGAATTACGTTAGTACTCTAATTTTTATCCTTACATTAGTCTGTTGGGGTCATCAAATGATTCTTAAATACTAGAAGGTTGTCTCTAATCTTAATGAGGACTCTGCAATCATCCTTTCCTTTAATAACTATTCATCCAAGTGGCTTGTCTATCGTTGTTGTAAAATAAGTACGTTTAATTTTTTACAGAAGAAATGTAGTGGGCTTAATCATGTGCTGGCCATGTGTGTCTGTGGATGCAGCATTTAGGAATATGGGTCCCAGAGTACAGGGCTCCATCTTTAAGCTCTGGAGGTTGGAAGCTCTAGGAAAACTAAGGTGGGTTAAATGTGTTCCCAAAACTGTGATCACATTTTATGTTTATGCTTTTCTCTCCCTTTCTCGAGTCATGGTAGGTTACTATTTGAGTGCCATGCCCTAGAACTCCCTAAAGTAAAGGCACTGGTATCCCAAAAGAACTGTTCTAAAAGATTACTTACTTCTGTGAAGGCAGAGAGGGTGCTACAGAATGAAAATAGCATTTTAGGAAGGTTGAGTCAGAGGTGCGAGTGGGGCATAGAGAGATTTTCTCAGGGTGATAAGGCCCTGGTGCTCAAGTCTACAAGCAGAGACAGGCACATTGGCAGTGAGTCCTCCTTGGGGAAGAAGAATGATCTGGGCTACTTCCAAGACCCCTTCTACCTGTAAGTTCTTGTAATTTGGGATTGGGATTAAGAAACTCCAGAGGCTGGTGTAAATTGATGGGGCACCAGCTGTTGTTTGCTGCACCTCAGGGAAGTCATGGTGGGAGTCTGGCCTGGCCCTGTTGGCTGGGGCCCCCAACAGATCCTTGCTGTGTCTGGGTTTGAGTTTACGCTACACAATTACAAACTTTTTCCAGTGCTGCTTTTTGTGAATCTTTGAACCTGCAGTTGTGAATGAACAGAAATTTGAACTGAGCTTAAAAAAAGGAAAAAAAAAAAAAAAAAAAAAGGCAGAGCTTTGTTGATACCACTGCCATTATAGGGCCATGATTTCTTTTTTCCCCATTTAGCTGCAACACATTTATTTTTCCCTTGTATAATGGCTGAGATTTCTTTAGTATGGAGCTGTGTCACAGTGGTTTATGTATTTTCTTCTCTCTCCCTGCCTCTGTTTCTAAGGCTGGGCAACTTTGAGGTATGTGGATTGACCTGGATGCCTCTTGTGACTCCTTCCCCACGATCCCCTGCGTGCACTTCCTATTCATCTTTGTAGTTCTCAGCTACTCACTGTGCTGTCATATCTGGCGCGTGCTGTTCCTTCTATCCTGTGCTTCTCCTCCTGTGTCCACTTGGTGGAACTTTCCCCATGGTTTGCTTCTTCCAGTAATCTCTGTCTGGACCCCCCATCTTCTAGAGAGTTTATTGCTCCTTCCTGATCCTTGTAACATTTTTATTATTGTGCTCATCATACTGTAATATCTGTTTACATACATATGACCCTTTACTAAAGTGGTAGGAACCACATATTATTTATTGCTAAAGCTCAATAACTTAGTACATGTAATATTTTAGGGGCTCAGAAATGTGAAATTATCTCCCTTTATTGAGTTTTTATGTGCCAGGCACATATTATAAATATATGTCAAGAAAAAGATAACCTAAACACGGAAAAGATTATAGTGTACTCTCCTACACAACTTTCAAATAAACTCTAAAATGATTATAAGGATGTCAGAGTTCTGATTTTTTAAAACTACATTTAACTTACTATTTTAAATTATTTGTATTTCATTATTGTAAGAGTTCTGATTTTTTTTCCATGATAATTACATTGATTTGGTGTTTGTGCATGTGTTTGGCCCAAACTCAGGATCATTTATGCCTTTTGGGTAATCCAGCGTTGATAAAGAATAAATTAAATGAGTGAACGTGGGTGTTACTGTTTTGTCGTTGCTGTTGTTTTAATTTGCTATGTTCTTTTGTTTTACTGTTGAATGTTACCCTGTGTTAGACTCTTCATTTCCTTCATGTCATGCCTGCCTCCTTTGTCCCACTCCCAACCCCTCGCCTTACCCATTTGGGCTCAGTGCTTTGTGTTTTGTCTTGGTGGCTAGTAAGTACCATCATATGATAGTGGGGCAGAGCAGGGCTAACTGTTCCGTATGAGAATCAGACACATATTATGAGTCTTAACATCATTTCCCGAAGTGTGGGTCATGATTCCAGAGCAAAGGATCACCAGATTTGGTCTCCCGATTTCTACTCTTTCTGGTCCTGGGAATGAGAATCAGCCTTATTTAACAAGGCCTTAAACTGATGTTCATGTGTACTAAGGTTCAAGAATCGCTGCTTAAAACTAACTGCTCAATTATTAATGTAGCTGCAAACAAAAGTAAAGCATTCATGAGGGTCTTGTAAGACTTCCTCAGTCCCTTATTCAGGAAATATATTTGGCCCATGTGGTATTTTACTTTTTTGATAGAACTTGGCATCTTCAACAGGAAAAGCGTATTTACTTTTTGTATCCTGGTCTTCTTCCGTTGTTCAGAATTTCTAGCTCATATTCCCAGCCTCCCCAACCAGGGCATAACATTTTTATAGCCACCAGCCCAGGCTCCGTGGGTTGAAGGAAAGAGTTTTTGGATCCTGTTATTTTCCTGGAGGAAGAGCTGAACATTGACTCTTTTACAAGAATCCAAAGTATGCATTGTCATTTCCATGTTAACCCTCACTCGAAATTTTTGTGGGTTTTGAAGGATTGACTGTAGCCCAGTCTTAGCAGGATCCCTGGCCATGGAAATTCATTTGAAGCACATTGTGCCATGGAAGTACCCTGCAGGTAAAAATGCTCTATTTATACTTGGCTGAGTCCCAGACAGCTGCTGTCTGCCTGTTGGGACTGGGAGCAGATGTAGGGGTGATCTGCCCCCTCCTATTTTTTTGTGGATTTGGAAGCTTCCCTGTTGAGAGTGACAAAAACCCTGTCAATTGATGTGGTAGGTATGTCAGACCTGGACAGCTGGTCCTTAGAAAATATGCTGAGATCACCAAGTTAACAGGTACAGAAGGGTTTCCAGTTTGTTATATGATGTTGGGCCTGTGACTCCCCACCCCCCTTTTTAGGGACATGTCATTAATGGTGGAGCGCTTGTTAAAGGCTTCTCTTGTAGCATGTGTAGGTGTGGCTAAAGAATAGTGAATTTGATTGATGTTAATGTACATCTGGATACATTCTCATTTTAATTTTTTTTTATTGGTTCTAGGGACTTTTGGTAAAGATTGTGGATGTCTTCAGTTTTACACATTTAGGAAACAGTGTCTTTTTACTTATTTCCAGTACAGTTGTGATGTATTGAATGACAAGGGACTTTAAAACAGACATGCTGTGTATAATGTTTTCTTCCTGATTAAAAAGTAATATCTGTTCATTATTTGAATAGTTACAATTAAGAAACAGATTATTTAGGGATGAAAATTTCCTGTAATCTCCAGAGATATGTACACTTAACATTTTGGTGTTCGTTCCTCCAGATTCTTTTCTATGATTATTGTATTATATTTTAGAATTGTAGTTTACCCACCAGCGTATTTTAAGAAGTTACCAGAAAGGCGTCTCTGAGTATCTGAAGCCTTTCATTTAGCCATTTATGGATTTCAAAGTATCTTATGTGGGGTTAGTCTCCATTGAGACTCAGGAACTCTGCAAGAGGGAGAAGCATTGGCTTCTGCTATGTGCCTGTCAGTGTGCTTTAATACTTTACCTGGATCATCTCTTCCAGTAACCCCACAGTATAGGAAGCATTATTATGCTCTTTCTGCACATAAGGAGATGAAGATTCAGACAAGTTAAGTGACTTGCTCAAGGTAATACAGTTAATTGTAGAGGACTTGGGATTGAATTTGATTTATTGTCTAGAGAATATTGTATGGCACCCTATTACTTTCCTGTATTGAGATGTAGGTGGTGGGGGTGGGGGGGTTAAGCTGAAAATATCTGTGAGATGTATAAAGCTGTTGGATAGAGACACACCATTTCTTTCTTCTTATTTTTTTTTGAGACAGAGTTTCTCTCTTGTTGCCCAGGCTGGAGTGCAGTGGTGCAATCTGGGCTCACTGCAACCTCCACCTCCCAGGTTCAAACGATTCTCATGCCTCAGCCTCCCCAGAAACTGGGATTACAGGTGCCCGCCACCACACCCGGCTAATTTTTGTATTTTTTGTAGGGACATGTATAGTTTCACCATGTTGGCCAGGATGGTCTGAAACTCCTTATCTGAAGTGATCAGCCTGCCTTGACCTCCCAAAATTCTGGGATTACAGGCGTGTGCCACCGCGTCTGTCCTAAGGAGACACACTGTTTCTCTGGCTTATTAAGAGGTATTTGGTTAGTATATAAACATTTTCGTAGCTTCTGAGGTTTTGCAGTCATTTGTTCAGACATACGGGTTGGTGGAAATGCTTTCTGTTCCTTTTCCCAAACCAATCACACAGCCATATAACTTCATGCCTGAGTTTCTCTGTGGTCCTCTATAGTGAGTGGTTTTTACATAGTTCTTTGCAGCAGCATGAATTTCAAAAATCTCCAAACTTTTGCTATTGCTGATCTTTGTAAACTTTGCACACCCAGCGCTGGTACATTCTGATGATGGTGTCCACACTGCACTTTATGAAGAAAAGACTGATGATTGTTTATATTAAAATGTAGGAAGAGAATTGTAGCAGCAACTTTTGCTTCTCTAATCAACAACACCAGAAGAGACTTACTGTGTGTGGTCAGTGGGGGAGAATGTTAATTTATAAATTGAGATAGTTGTATTAAAATTGAGTGACTCTTATTTTGACATAAAGTGAATGTGTCTCTTTTATACAGCAGAAAACTATTAAATTTGTTTTTTCTCATCAGTATAAAATAAAGTGGAAAATGTGGGAAGAATACAAATTCTTAACTTCTGTGCTTCTGCTTATTTCACACCCCTCAAATTTCTGATTCCTTTCAACTGTAGCTGGCTTTACTACTGAGTGGTGAAATTGCTGAACATACTTAAAACCACATCATTTAAGACTTTGAATTTTGACATTTCCTCCTCTTCACAGTCTTTAAATACTAGGCAACCTGTAGGGTTCCACTGTGTCTGTCATGTATTGTCCCTGTGTTACATGAAAGCAGCCTCAGTGAACTTGTGAATTTGCTCAGTCATTTCACTGGCTACTGGGTGAGGAAGAAGTAGGATTTTCTCTCTTAAAATTCCTTGGTGAAATCATTGGATGGGCATGATGTGTTTCTTTAATTTTCATTTTGGTAAAAAAATCTACTGACAAAGCAAAGACTTTCAGTTGTTCTTGGTCTTTCAGTAGGTTTAGTTTTTAAGTGTGTTTACTCTGACCAAAAACTGCCTTCCTGTAATATGCTCCTCCCTTTAGAACTCAGTTCTTAAGTAGAGTTTGTTTAAATGTATAAAATAAGTTAATGCATTATATGCAGCGAGGTTTTGCATCAGAACCCTGAGTTCTCAATGTTGTGGCAGGTTTAAGTGTCTAGAACACCTTTTAGCTGTTATTTCTATTACTTGCTTTTTTATTTTTGGGGTAAATGATATCTTCTCAGGGAGGCCTTCCCTCAGCACCATGTTTTAAAGGGCATCTCCCTCATTTGCTATTCCTTCTTCTGTTTTATTTTTCTCTATAGAATTTGTTACTGTGTGAAAACTATTTATTTTAATGTTTTATTTACCTGTGTTACCCCTAGAATAATATCTATGAAGGTAGGGATTTTTGTCTGTTCCTTCTGTGCCTACAGAGTCTTGAGGAGTATGGTGTCTGGCACATTGTAGGTGCACAATGACAGCTGAATTAACAATGTCAGGGAGAGTTTGTAGGATGGGGCTCGAGGTATAGGGCAAGTCAGTTTTTAGATTTGAGGTCATTAGCAGGAGATCCTCTTACGATGTGGGGGGAAAAACACACGTTTTAACGTCAGACTGGGTTTGAATCTGGTCTCTCCAACTTACCCTTTGACCTTGGTGTTAAATGATTTAACCTTTGAAAGATCAATTTTTTTCACTAGTGAAATAGGGGAAATAGTATCTTTTTAGTGGGGATTAAATGTAATATCAAATATAATGCTCTGTAAATGTTAGTTTTGTCTTTCCCGTTGTGTGCCAGCATTGTGGAAGTCTGAAAGCAACCTGAATTTACCAGTCTGTTTCTGGAGCCTTCTGGGGTCATTACTTTGATTACTTTTGACAGATACATTCTTTTCAGCAGCCTGTGTTGCCAGCATAACAATGACCTGTCCCTTTGACCAGTGTGAGGGACAGACACTTTGTCATCCCTCTTTTAATCCTTGTATCAGAACAACTCTTACGAGTTCTGGTTTTGAAACATGTTTAGAGGAGTTTATAATTCCGAACAGTTCAGATGACATCAGCCCTTTCTTAGAGCCCTCTAAGTTTGCTCAGCTTCCTCATTCCAGTGTGGCGGGAACCATTCAGTTAAATTGATGTTTGTGGTCTTTACACATAGTCATCCGAAGTTTCTTGCAAATCACGAAACATCAGAGGGCTGCTAAGTCACTAGTTTGTCTCTGTAGATTTCTCTAATCCAGGCTTGTCCAAACCGTGGCCTGCAGGCTGCATGCAGCCTGTGAAGGCTTTGAATGTGGCCCAACACAAATTCGTAAACTGTCTTAAAACATTGGCTGGGCATGGTGGCTTACGCCTGTAATCCCAGCACTTTGGGAGGCCGAGGCGGGTGGATCATGAGGTCAGGAGATCGAGACCATCCTGGCTAACAAGGTGAAACCCCGTCTCTACTAAATATACAAAAAATTAGCCGGTTGCGGTGGCGGGCGCCTGTAGTCCCAGCTACTGGGGAGGCTGAGGCAGGATAATGGCGTGAACCCGGGAAGCGGAGCTTGCAGTGAGCCGAGATTGCGCCACTGCAGTCCGCAGTCCGGCCTGGGCGACAGAGCGAGACTCCGTCTCAAAAAAAAAAAAAAAAAAACACCAAAAAATCAGCTGGGTGTTGTGGCGGGTGCCTGTAATCTCAGCTACTCGAGAGGCTGAGGCAGGAGAATTGCTTGAACCCAGAAGGCAGAGGTTGCAGTGAGCCAAGATTGTGCCACTGCGCTCTAGCCTGGGCGACAGAGCGAGACTCCATCTCAAAAACAAACAAACAAAAAAATTATGAAATTTTCTTTTTTTGCAATTTTTTTTAAAGCTTATCAGCTATTATTAGTGTTAGTATATTTTATGTGTGGCGCAACACAATTCTTCTTCTTCCAGCGTGGCCCAGGGAAGCTACAAGATTGGACGACACTCTTTTAATTTTTGTGGCTTAACAAGGTGTTAATTCCTGTATAAATTTCACTGATATTTCTTCTGCTTGATGCAGGAACACTTGACAAGTTAGTTAAGGTAGATTGGTCCATAAATTTATAGGTTCTTTCATTCCCATGTCCTAGGCAAGTCTGAGCAGGCCCTGGAAAGCTGATTAAAAGGCCAGTGAGCACAGTGAGCTTAATTGTAAATTAAATGGATATTTAATACATTAAGAAGGCACTCAAGCCTTTCAATCTTTCATTTTCATCCATGCTTGCTGTTTGAATCTGATGGGCTTGAAATTGACTTTGTTCTTCTAAAAATGTTGGTTGGTTATTGCTGCCTTTCTCAAGCTTGGTTTTCAGTGTGGATTTCTGCAGATAATTTTTGCACCTAAAAGTACAAAGTCATTAAGTGAAGATAGTCAGGAAGGAAAGAGTGCCCTGAGCCAGGAGGTCTGTTATAGCGCATGGGGTGGACCAGAGAATGAATGGGCATGGGCATGGAGGTGGTTCAGTCAGTGTGGGAAAGCCACTTGCTTGTCAGTTTTCTACTGCGTTGTCCAGCAGAACACGTTGAAGCTTGGGGCCTGCAACTGGTGTGGAGATGATTGCATTTAGGAGGCTGATGTAGATTTTTTTCCCTCTAAGTGTGTGTTAACTGCCTTTTGGTGAAGTCTTGATCCGAGACATACACAACTTGATCTGTGAGGATTGTAATATCGAGATGGTTCTGTTATTTGAGTTAGGCATGGCTAGGCTACCAAGGCATTGCTTTTCAGTCCCAACAGTTGGTCATTTCAATTTCAGTGAGGCTTTTGTGATTTGTTAGAATACAAAGTTTGTTATTTTGTCTGTGTTTTTGCATGTATGAATGACACTTTATACTGTTATTTTGCTGGTTAGTATGTGCCTTCATTTACCTATTGTGAGTAAGAAACTTCCTCAGATCAAATTATAGTAAAGTCACTTGGTTCTGTTTCTCTGACTCTTAAGAGATTGAGATCACTTTATACTCAAACTCAGGGTGTTTGGTAAAGGACCTACCCTTCTGAGCATTTATAGCCTAGATGAAGTCCTGGTCCAATCACCAAGTTAAACTTTTAAGAACATGCTATTCTTAATGTTCAGGAATTCAACCCTGGAAGCCTTCTCTAAATCTTAATGAGATTTTTATGAGAATTCATTTAGTGAACATAACAATCAGGGAATCCAGCTATTAACTTTGAGGAGGGTCATGCCTTTTAGTGGTTAGAGAGGCAAGCTGTAGCCTCCCTTCTCAGAGAAGGGGAATTGAGGAAGAGAGTTCTAGTGGTCCCTTGCAATCCTCCCCTCACTTTCCAGGCTCCCTAGTAAGACTGCAAGAAGTCCCTGAGTAAACAGCATTTTGTGAGTTTGAGGGACTACGTAAAAATGTAAGTGAACATACAATGGTTTTGCTTTGATAACTGTTTTAAATATCCTGTTGGTTGTTGAAACTTCTGTGACAGTGAAGCCTTTTGTCTTTATTTTTCAATCGGAAGATCTTTCTTCCCCACTTGAAAAGATTGAGTCTGGGATCAATTCCTGACCCCGCTTCCTTCCTAAATCTCTTAGTGTATAGCATACAGCTGGGCATATGGTAATCTCGGGCACGGGATTGTACTCACAGAGCTATGCTTGACACCTAGGACTTTAGGTGGCTTATATATTTTCGGTGACAACTTTTAATTTTATTCTCATTTATTCCATTTCTGTTTCAGTGTCCTGGGTCATGAAACTTAATCCACAGCAAGCTCCCTTATATGTGAGTAAATCATGAGATTTCTTATTATTTTGTGTTTATCTGTTCTGCTTACTTGTTATAATAAGCCACACTCTCACATGATAGATCCTCAAGGAAAATTTTAACCATATGTCCATGAATATATTGGTGTAAGACACTTCAGAAATTGAGTTTGATTTAGTAAATACTAAATGGCTAATCTGTGCATGGAAATGAAAACAAATAATACCTGTAAGACTTGAGAGTTAATTTAGTCAGGGTAATAGTATGCATGTATGAAACAAATTGTCCTGCCAAACAGTACTGTAGCTTCTTATTTTTTACCTGCAGTGCATTCCTGTAAAAGTAGTGTGGAGATCCTCCTACTGCCACTGTGATTTACCTTATGTTGCCACTAGGTGGCACTATGTCATTGGCAAGAGTACTGTTTTCTTTAGGACTCATCTCCCTAAAGTGAGGGACTTCCCTCATTCAGTGGGTTGTCATTTCACTTTCTTGATGCTATCCTTTCAAGCACAAAAATTTTCAGTTTTGATAATGTTTTGTTGTTGCTTTTTTTTTTGGCATCATATCTAAGAAGAATTCTTTGCATAACCTAAAGTCACAGAGATTTATTCCTATGTTTTCATCTAGGAATTGTATAGGTTTAGTTAGCTCTTACATTTAGGTATGTAATGTGAGAGTTCATTTTTGTGTATTTTGTAAGGGAAGAGTCCAACTTTTTTCTTTTGCATGTGGATCTCCAGTTGTTCCAGCACCATTTGTTGAAAAGACTGTTCTTTCTCCCATTGAATTGTCTTGGGCATCCTTGTTGAAATTGATCAGAAGTGTGAGGAATTTTTTCTGGACTCTGAAGTCGATTCCTTTCATTTAGGTTGTTTTTGATTTCTTTCAACAGTGTTTGGTAGTTTTCACTGTATAAACTTGGTACTTCCTTGAAATTTGTTGCTTATGGTTTTATTCATTTTGATGGTATTGTTAATTTTGTTATCTTAATTGTTCAGTTCTTTTTTTTTTTTTTTTTTGGATGGAGTCTGGCTCTGTTGCCCAGGCTGGAGTGCAGTGGCGCGATCTTGGCTCACTGCGAGCTCCGCCTCCCAGGTTCACGCCAGTCTCCTGCCTCAGCCTCCCAAGTAGCTGGGACTATAGGTGCCTGCCACCACTCCTGGCTAATTTTTTGTATTTTTAGTAGAGACAGGGTTTTACCATGTTTGCCAGGGTGGTCTCGAACTCCTCACCTCGTGATCCACCCAGCTCCCAAAGTGCTGGGATTACAGGCGTGAGCCACAGCACCTGGCCAATTGTTCAGTTTTTGATTGTTCATTGCTTATATATAGAAATACTGTTGATTTTTGTGTACTGATCCCTGAAACTATAGCCTTGTGTCAGAGATGAGTTACAAACTATAATCTAACTTGTTTGGCCACAGTTTTTAAGTGGATGCCTTAGGATTTTCTCTGTACAGGATCAAGTGATCAGAGATCGTTTTCTTCCTTTCCAATCTGGATGCGTTTTATTTCTTTTTCTTGCCTAATTGCCCTGAGAAGCATGTCTGGTACAACATTGAATAGAAGTGGTGAGCGCAAACATCCTTGTCTTTTCCTGATCTTAAAGAGAAAGCATCCAAGCTTTCACCAGTAAGTATGATGTTGTTAGGTGTGGGTTTTTCACAGGAATCTTTTGTTAAATGAGGACATTCCCTTCTATTCCTAGTTTGACTATTTTTATGATGAAAACATGTTGGATTTTGTCAGGTGATCTTTCTGTGTTGAGATGGCCATGTAGGTTTTTTTCCTTTCATTAATGTGATATATTACATTGACTCAATTAAATAGTTTTTATTTATTTATGGAGATGGGGCCTTGCTCTGTCACCCAGGCTGGAGTGCAGTGACATGATCATAGCTCACAGCATCGTGGAACTCCTGGGATCAAGGGATCATCCCACCTCAACCTCCTGAGTAGCTAGGACTACAGATGTGCGCCACCATGCCTGGCTATTTATTTATGTATTTATTGAGACAAGGTCTTGCTCTGTCACCCAGCCTGGAGTGCAGTGACATGATCATAGCTCACAGCATCGTGGAACTCCTGGGATCAAGGGATCATCCCACCTCAGCCTCCTGAGTAGCTAGGACTACAGGTGTGCGCCATCATGCCTGGCTATTTATTTATGTATTTATTGAGACAAGGTCTTGCTCTGTCACCCAGGCTGGAGTGCAGTGGCGCGACCATGACTCACTGTAGCTGCGATCTCCCAGGCTCAAATGCTCTTCCCACCTCAGCCTCCTGAGTAGCTGGAACCACAGGCATGTGCACCCATGCCCAGCTATTTGTATTTATTTTTTGTAGAGACGAGATCTGACTATGCTGCCCAGGTTGGGCTCAAGTGATCCTTCCACCTCGGCCTCCCAAAGTGCTGGGATTACAGTATGAGCCATCCTGCCTGGCCTGTTTTAATTTTTAGAGATAAGGTCTTGCTGTGTTGCCAGGCTACCTTGGTTGAATTTTTAATGTTAAGGCAACCTGGCATTTCTGAGGTAAGTATCATTTGATAATGCTGCACAATCTTTTTTATATGTTGTTGGATTTGTTTTGAAAGTATTTTGAGGACTCTTGTGTCTATACATAGAGATATGTTCTATAGCTTTCTTGTGATGTCTTTGTCTGGTTTTGAGTATTAAAGGTTTTTGGTTAGGGAACAGTTGTAAATAAGTAGTTGTGTTATACAGAAGGATGGCTTCCCCAAATTTATTCACTTCTTAATCCCTAGAACCTGTGAATATTTACCTTACATGGCAAAAAGAACTTTTCATACTTGATTAAGTTGAGGATCTTAAGATGGGAGCTTATTCTGAAATATCTGAGCTTCCCGTTGTAATTACAGGAGTTCTCATGAGTGAGAGGGAGTATCAGGAGAGTCAGTGGTCAGAGATTTGAAGATGCTACACTGCTGGCTTAGAACATGGAGGAAGGAGCCCATGAGCTACGGAATGCAGCTCTAGAAGCTGGAAATAGCAAAAGAACACTTTCTCCACATAGAGACTCTAGAAGGAACACAGCCCTGCTGGCACCTTGATTTTTAAACAAGTGAAAGTCATTTTGGACTTCTGACTTCCAGAAATGATATATGATAATAAATTTATGTTGTCTTAAGCCACTGAGTTTGTGATAATTTTTTGTAACAGCAGTAGAAAACTAATAGAGTAGTAGTTTGAGAAAATTAGTGATAAAGGATACTTGGGAAGGAAAGGATAAATGCAGTTAGGTCAGTTAGAAACTCTCTGATCTTGCCATCATGGAGCCTGAGAACTTTAGAGTTAGTAAATACTTTAGCTAATATATGCTTCAACCTCTCCCTTTTAGACATGAGGAAACGAGGTCTGAAGATGTTGTGATAAGATGGCACAGCTAATTGGTGGTAAATTGTGAATTGAACCTTTGTTTTCTGGACTTAAGTCATAGAAACCACTGTAAACCTTGTTAAGCTTTAAAAAGTTTCATTCTGTTAGGGAAGCACAGCTCAGTTCTGAGTAACATAGTTAATACACTAAGTGCTTTGTATATGTTTGTGTTTAATTGACTTGAGCAGGCTCTACTGAAGAATACTTCTTTAAACTTCAGGATTCAAGTATGTCCATCAACAGTAATACTTAATGGGGCAATATGTTATCTCCTTTTTAAAAGGAGAGTAACAGTGTATTGGATTCTCAGTGAACTGAGTCAAGTTGCAGGGATTTATGCTGTTTTGGTGAGGAAAAGTAGCTGTTTTATGATGGCTCATTGAGCAGGGTGGTGGGGGAAGTTCTCTGCACCTGGACAAAGAAATAAGCAAGAGAACAAAGACTGTGAAGATTTTCATTTAGATCATATTTGGGATCTGCCAGGGGTGAGTATCATCATTAGAAGGGAGAATATTGCTGCTAAATAAGGAAAAACACTGTACCCGGAGAAGAACTTTTATCTGTCAGTTAAGACAAATAGGCTGGACTCCAAATAAATATTTTAATCAGACTTTGAATAAAGATGTGTCCAGAATACGTTGCAATAGTTAAAAATGTAAGGAAGGTTCCAAAGTGTACAGGTGGCAGTACTGTTGGATGTTTCAATTAAGCTCTTTTAATGAATTATTTTCAATGAAATGTTCACCATAAAATGTGCAGGACCCTGGCCTGAAACTTTGGAGACCAGTAGCTCAATATGGCTATGCCTTGGTTTTCCTGTCTGTTAGCTCTGATTGCATGAGTACAACCTTTATGTTAGGCAAGCTAGTTACATCACTAAGTCGGGTTTTTCTCACAGTCGCCACAAAAGTAATGATTATTGCCAGATGAATTCATAAGAATTGCATTTTCAGTTCCATTTAGTGGTAGTGCTAAAAACTCTGAGTAGCTTAGTAGTATCCTTCTTGGTATGAGGGCCTGGATTGTTTAGAGAGAGGAAAGATGGAGAGGCAGTGGCAGATGCAAGAAATATTTCAAAAGAAACAGCAGGGCCAAATGCTTTATTAGACTATAGGGAGTGAAAGAGAACCATGAATGACAGTTGATTGAGAACTTGAGTGTGAGTGACAGCTGATGCCATCATTGGGTATAGAGAAGAAGGAGATGATGATCTTGTTCTTTACACATGTTAAATAAAGTCACATGGGTATCCTGTTCATAGGTGGAGGTGTGTGCTTGAAACTACAGAGCAAGGAAGTTGGTTTTGAAGTGAAATCGTTTGAGTCTTCTCTAAGAAATTGATTCTTTTGACACCATGTGACTGTAAGAATAGATGAGCTCTTTGAGAAGCTAAAAGAGTGGATGGAATTAGTATAGTGGACTGTGGTGTAGAAGACAAAGTGAGTCAAGAAAGGAGTTCCAGAAACCTGGGTTGCATTTTAGCCTTAAACATTTTGTTCCTGGTGTTTCTTAATTTCACTTATACATCAGGATTGGAAGTAAACTTTGGGCTGGAGCTGGGCAATTTATTCTTTTATTCAGGTGCCTTCTTTGTGCCAAGACCTGTTCTGGATGCTGGAGATTTAGCCATGAACAAAACAGAAGGTCCCTGCTCTCCTGGTACTTGCATTGTAGTGAGAAGAAGGAAGACAGCAAGATAACATATCAGGAAGAAAAGTTCTATGAAAATAAATGAAATGGCGATGTGATTGTGCCTGACCAGGGGCTGTTTTATCTTGGGTGGTCAGGGAAGGCCTTTGAGGGGCATGTCATTTAGGCTGAGACCTGAAGGAGCCAGCATGTGAAGCTCCTAGAAGTGTTCTAGCCCAAGGGAACAAATGCAGAAACTCTAAAATGAGAAGTAGTAACTTAATATGTTTGAGGAACAGAACAGTGGCTGGGGCTTAATGAGTGCAAGGGGAAGGGGTCCAATCTCTTCTGCATGAGGTTGGAGATTTAGGGAGGAGATGAGGAAGAAGCTGGATCTTGTAGGATTTAACAGACCACTGGATAATCTCCCTGGGCCTACCTTCCCTCACATCTGAACCCTACTACAGCTCCTATCCCTGTGTGTACTCAGAAAACATTAGAGCTCCTTCTGGCTTGAGGTCAAGTCAGACCTCTTAGGGATACTGGGATTTATCCTAATGTGGATCTGCTGACCCTGGGCAGATGGGATTCTTAGATAGTTTAAACATACATATTTTGGACTACCCTTTTGAGGAAAAAATAGTTTTAGTCCTTTCTAGTTGTCATTAAGATCCACATTTAGATATAAATGGATGTTCTTGAATTGAGGAATATGTATATATTTATATATATTTATTATATATTATATATTATATATATTATATATTTTATATATAATATATATATTTTAGCAGATTTGGCTCTTATGAGAGGACAGTGTAATAAAGAATACTTCTTTGTTTTTATATTGTTTCATGGCTGGATTGCTTTTTGGGAGGAAAAAAACTATTTTCAAAACTTGGTACTGTTACTCCATTTGTGAACCTGAATAAGTGGTGTATAATATGATTTAATAGTAGTCCTTTCATTCTCTAGTTTTCTGTGGGTACTTTACCTGCAGTTGTGTAATTCATTTGCATCACCTGTAACCTTTCTAGTTGACAGCTCCTTAAAAACAAGAGCTCATGTTTGCATAGTACCTCATAGTTAAGAAAGCACATTTGCATGCCTTACGTTAATGCATGCAGTGCTCACAGCAGTGTTACCAGTCCCAGAGCAGAGAAAGCTGCATCGTTACTTTCGTCATACATAAGGAAACATAAGGTTAAGACGGTTCATCTAGTGAATGGCAGAAGTGGGGCTTTACCCAGAAATGGTTACTCTGAAATTCATTTTCATTCTTCTATATACCAAGATGTCTTATTACAAATACCAAGTCCACAACTGTTCCATAAGATGCAAACATGTCATAGCACTTAATATTATAGAGACTTGCAGAAATAAAATCCTTTTAAAGAATAGGTAACCCAAGTTTACTCTTCCATTTCATGTTTTAAAAGATTTAATGGGTTTTATTTGAAATAACTCCAAGGCCAAGCACAGTGGCTCATGCCTGTAATCCTAGTACCTTGGGAGGCCAAGGCAGGAGGATCGCTTGAGCCCACGAGTTCAAGCCTGCAGTGAGCTATGAACATACCACTGCACTATAGCCTGGGCTACAGAGCGAGACCCCATCTCAAAAAACAAAACAAAACTTTAAATGTACAGAGAAGTTACAAGAAGAATACAATAACTTCACCTCTATCAACTCTTGTTAAATTTAGTCACATTTGCTTATTCTCTGTATTACATATTTTTATTTATTTTAGTCATTTGAAAGTTGCAAACAGTATACTCTGTTCCCCTTAAATATTTCAGCATATATTTCCTAAGAATGAAGACATTCTGCTTCATAACCACAGTATAATTAACAAAAAACAGGAATTGTAACATTGATGTAATACTCTTACATGATGTAAGTCTATATTCACATTTCTCTAATTTTCCCAATAATGTCCATTATAGCACCCTTTTCCTTTTTCAATCCAGGATTTAAACACATTATATCTCTTTAGTCTCTTAATTTTATTTTGTAGCATGTTTTGTCATGATTTTGGCAATGGACTACATGAGTGATGTTCTTGGAGTATCACATTAGGAGGACACATGATGTATTCTTTTCCAATTATTGGAAGTGTTAACTTTGATACCTTAGTTAAGGTGGTATTGAATCTACATAATTTATCTGTTCCAGAGGAATTGGGCATATAAGAGATGGTATGAGTAGTTGTTCACTTTCCCCCTCTAAAGTTGTTTCTGGTTTGGAGGTATCTTTTGCATATTGGATTTTCCTAAAATGGGGTACCCTTGTTCTGCGCAAGGTGTACCCTTGAATATAGGCGAAAGGGCTAATGTCAACAGAGAGCTCATTTTGAGTGATAAATTGCCTGAGGTTTAAGGGGGCGTTGTCTCTGCCTTTGTGGATACACATGGTTATTTAAGAAATGTAATACTCAGCTGAGCTATAATGACCATTTTTAATATGGAACATAGTAGGCACTTAGTAAACATTCATTGAGTGAGTGAATGAACTACAGTTTAGATAAGACTACTAAAATTTTAATGAAATTCACTTCATTTTGACAGAGCTACTTTTCTTAAAATTGCTCATTTGTTTCCCAGGTTTCATTCATTAATCTGCCTAGCATAGGCCCTGAGTAGCTAGTGATGTCACCTTTGTTACTGAAGGTGTGGCCAACAGGGAAATGAAGGTGATAACCTTGTCTTTATGGTGCATGTGGAACCTTTGAAACTGTAAGGAAATCCTTACAGCATCCCTGTGAAGTACAGCTGAGTGTGTTTGATAGTTTTATTACAGAGATGCATTCTGTGAGATAATATCTTACCTAGTTGAAGAAGCGTACTAGAAATAGTGCCTATATCTCTCCAGTCCTGAATTATCTTAGTTCTTTTGGGAGTTATAATCTGAGCCATTTGTTTATAGCAAGCCATGTGACTGCTTCTATTTTTTATGAACATAGTACATGCCCCCTTTGTCTCTAGAGCTCTCCTCACTGTCAAGATACAAAGCATAGTCTTGTCCTAGACGGGGTAAGGGACGAGGGATGCTGTCAGATGATAAAAGAAAAAGCCAAGCACATGAAGGAAAGGTTGGTATTAAAAAATGTATTACATTTCTTAAATAACCATGTGTATCCACAAAGGCAGAGACAATGCCCCCTTAAACCTCAGGCAATTTATCACTCAAAATGAGCTCTCTGTTGACATTAGCCCTTTCACCTATATTCAAGGGTACACCTTGCGCAGAACAAGGGTACCCCATTTTAGGAAAATCCAATATGCAAAAGATACCTCCAAACCAGAAACAACTTTAGAGGGGGAAAGTGAACAACTACTCATACCATCTCTTATATGCCCAATTCCTCTGGAACAGATAAATTATGGAGATTCAATACCACCTTAACTAAGGTATCAAAGTTAATGGGCTCTATCTATCACCACTCCCACACTCTAAGCCCTACTGGATCTAGCAACCTAGCAACTAGACTCCAGAAACAGTAAATAAATCCTCCCTCAGACTAACAGCTGAAAAGGAAACAAGAGTTTTAGACTTCTGATGAAGGAGGAGGAAAGGGTCTTTGGATGCCCCTTATGTCAGGCCCCAGGCTTAGTCTGGAAGAGATCTGTCTAGGCCAGGCCTGAAGCTCTGCAAGGTACAAGGAAATAATAGCTGTCAAGAATTAGGCGACGTGGATGAATCCCATACTTGATATGCCAGAGAAAGTCACTTCCTCTGTCCTCTCATCATTTTACTACACCCAAGTGAATGTCCCACACTCAGTTCTACATGTAGGAATGGACTTTATGGGAGAGGTCAGGACTGGTGACGAATTTGATGAGTCATAGGAATCATTGTATGTTAGGAGTGGTTGAGCCCAGTCTTCCGGAAGAGTGAGGATATTGAACTACAGAGAGAGATTGAGGGAAGTTGCCTGCAGTTTCACAGCAGGTTACGAGAGGTCTGAACAGGTAGCAGAATCTGCAAATAATTAGCTTATCTGGTGTACAGGAGGCAGGTCCCTAATTGGTTTGAATTTAATACTCAAAGTACATGCGCAGAGAAGTTATAGTATAAGATTCAGAACAAATGGGCTAAGTAAGAGAAAAAAATGTAGCAATTGGAAGATGAAGAAGAGAGGAATATTCAAAAAGATAGCATTGTGCTCCTTTCTTGGTGGAGTGAACAGGTGAGGATTATACTGTCTTTATGGATTATAGGTACATTGGAAAATAGTTTACAGTTATTATTTGAAATTCCTCTATAGTGAAGGAAGTAGTCAAGATAAAATGTGTTTTGTGACTTTTGATATAGGAAAGTCAGTAATAGCCATCTCAATAAAGTATATGCTCAGCTATTTCATCTTTATACTTAGAGATTCCTCAAGAGGATGGTTACACATTAGCTCTGGATCAGTGAGAGTAAGACCAAGGCCCTGGAACAGTAAGGCTTTCTCTTGTAAAGCTCAGTTCCCATGGTTCTTTGATGCTTTTTCTGTGTTAGAATAATGTTCTTTACTGGTTTCCAACATGTTTCGGTGGGCATTGGACCCTTGTGGTTAATGATCTGTGCAGCTGTAACTCCAGAGTGGCTGGCTCTACAGAACACTGACTCAGATGGCTTGTATTCGATGCTGATAATTCACTAACTAAAACGACTATAAGAACACATTTCAAGAGGAGAAATTTGGGGTGCATATCTCAGATTCTTCAGTTATAAACTTGCTTTTTTGTGTCTCTTAAGATTTATGGTCTATTGAACACATCTCTGTGTCTCCCTCAGGAAAGCCAAACAGCATATTTTTGCCCCTGCAAATTAAACACTTTTTAAAGCCAGTGAGTTACTCAGATGTGAGATTTCAATTTTTTCCAAGGCATGCTCGAAGGTAATATATGGGATAATAATCATTACCTGCCATATGTTTGGGATAAAACCCACACTTATTAGATTTTCAAGGGGAAGAGCCATTCCAATTATAAAACAAATTTCCAGAACCCCAACAGATCTGGTTGATTATGTCGTCCTTCCTCTCTTGTTTTCTCTCAGTACCAAATGTTTTTGCATGTAACTGCTTCTGGGAGGAGGCAAAACATCCTGATAATAGAAGAGCACCATAAGAAAGAATTATCTGGCACTAGATGCCTTTCTTTATTTAAAATGTGCAAAACAAAATCTCCAGTGATTTTAAACTGTTTCTATTAGAATAGGGACCGTTCCTTATGATATTGTTCTGTTTTCCCAAGGAAAAGTTAGGGTGCTATTATTGGTTGAGAACCTACTCTTGGCAAGGAAACATGGCCAGCACTTAATACACATTACCTGATTTAATCATGACAATAGACATATAGGGTTTGGTTATTGTATCCACTTTACAGCCAGGGTGGATGGTAGGGTTCGCATCCTGTGAGTGGCTACAAAGCACCCCCACCTCCTTTTTTCCCTCAAAAGCCCATTTAAAGAAGGGAAATCAGAAGAGCGTATCCACTGGACTTGCATTTAGATCTCGAGAAAAGCTTATCAGAGTGATTTTCTACCACCACATTGGGTTCCTGTTTACTCCAGACTTACATTTTCAGCCTCCGTGAAGACTTGGACTTTGCGCGTAGATTAACTTGCTTCTCTGTTTATGCTAATTAAAACAGACCTCAGAAGACGAGCATGCAAACGGAGATACTGTGATTAGGAGGAGGAGGTTTTAAAATTTTTATCAGTTAAAAAAATTTATTCCTGAACAAGTGTAGTTTGCATAAATAATCAAATTTTTGAAGGGCCACAGAAATTAGGTTACCTCAGCTTAGTGTTCTCAGTTGCCTCCTTATAGGGAAGACTAATTTGGTAATGGCACAGTTTTATCGTTCTTCCTAGGAAATGCATTTCCACAGCAGGCTCTGAAATAACCTGGCTGTGCTTCTCACTTGGCTGTTAGGATACATTTTGCTTATACAAAGAGCCTTATCAGCCTCCTGATCTCTTAAATGGATTACCTGCCTTTGCCTTAACAATACATTTCTGATAGGTCTGCTCCAGCATCTGTGGGCTGGTGGCCTTGTCCAGCCAGATCTGAGACCTGCCAGAAGAATAAGGAAATCAAGGGTTCCTCCGTCTAGCTTTTGATGGTTTTACAGAGCAGGAATTTCAGTTTCTTTCTGTTGGACTTTTTAATCAGTTTCCAGAAACTTGCTTTGAATTTGAAGTTAATGGGCTTTTCATTTGTAAGTAGTATTTTCTCATTTTTCCTTGGCATTTTTAGAACAGACAAAGGTACAAAGGTCAAAGACTTTTCAGAGCCTTTTTACAGGATACTTTTTCAATAACTGGGTGTTTGCCAAGCTATCACATAACAGTGAGGGGATTAAAATTTCCATTTGGTACTAGTGAAGAGGAGTCTTGCTGTCCAAGAAAGATTAAAATATATCACTCTGTACCTTTAATTCATTTAAAACAAGTATTTGTGAAGCACCTATTAGGTGAATGGGACATTTGATCTTAGAGGAATAGATTCTTTCACTGGGGAGGAAGGGGCTCAGATGCATGCGTAGATAAATTACAGTGCAAGGAATACCTGTTGGAGTGCTGCTAGACGAGCTGTGCAAACAGTGATTGTTCATGGCAGGGAGAGAGGAATGGAATATTGGCAGATGTAATTGGGAAGCTTTCAGAAAAGGTGGGGGCTCTACCAGCCTGGATAGATAGGCTGTGGAGACTGGGAAGAGCAGAGTGAGAGGAGGAAGCACAGTCTTTGGAGTAAGGCATGGAAGAGTGTTATCAGTTGTGGGGAGAGACTTTGCTTGACCAGGGTGGGCAGTTCACATTGAAGGATACCTGGAGATGAGATTATATATAGCTGCTCTGTTTAGTAATGTAGTCATTAGCCACATGTGACTGTTTAATTAAAGTGAAATAAAATTAAAAATTCACTTCATCAAATAGTGCTCAGTTGCTACACATAGCTAGTGGCTACCATACTGATTGCAGATAGAAAATATTTCCATCATTGCAGAAAATTCTGTTGGTCAGCACTGATAAAGGAAGTATGGGGTTTTACACAGGATAACAGTGTGAAGAGCAACTGGAGATCTTTTGACCAGGCAAATAGTAGCATGATGAAAGTCATACCCAAAATAAAGAGTAGAAGGAGAGCAGTGAGGGGCTGTCAAGTAGGTAGGCCTATCACTTCACCGTTACAGCACACAGAATGAGATCTGGGGATGATGAAGCTGTTCCGCAGGAAGAACATATGGATTTTGTCTGGTAGAATGACTGAAAACCTCAAGGAGCCACAGAATGGCCACTGAGGGTTTTAGTGTGAGGGACAGAGGGAGAATGGTGTAGCATCAATGAGCAAACAGTTTGGAGGAGGAGCTGCCTTGGAAGCCTGAGGGAGAACAGTCATGTTTTTTACAACAATGTGTGGTAGTAAGGATTAAATGAAGTGAGATATATATATATATATATATATATATATCACATTGAGCGAGATCATAGATAAAACTTTAGATATAGGTGGTTTTAAAAAGAGACGTACCCCCGTTATTTTGACATAGTGCATGTAAAGTTACATTGTGTGGCTTCGTCTTGCATCTTCTGCATAAATACTTGCGCTGAGAGCTCTTTCCCTTGTTAGCTTAGGTAGCAACTACCTTTTACTGAACACCTTCCTTGTAAGGTAACTTACTTTATCTCCTCACCCATGTGAGATCCATTTTATAGATGAACGAACATAGCTAGGAAGAGGTGAAGCGGTAATTCAAACTAAAAACTTTTGCTCTTCCCATTTCATCTCTGCACGTGAGGATGGTTTCACTATCAGCTCCCCAGGTTGATACTATTGAAGCTTGATGCTTACATCACATCTACATTTAGAGGTTGTCTTTGGCACTGAACTCTATTTACCATCTCTTTTTCAAATGTAAGACATACATCCTATAAAACTTGCTTACTCTCAGTGGTAATTGGTATGTGGGGTGACCTGGAATGACTGCCATCTGGACTTCTCTAGGGCGCTGGCTCTTGGTGTGAGGTCCGCAACCAGCAGCCACAGGCATGAGCACCACTAGGAACTTGGTAGAAATGCAGGTGTTTACGCCCCATCTCAGACCTAAATGCCAGAGGGTGGGGCCCAAAAAGTCACTTTAAAATAAGCCCTTCACATGATTCTGATGCACTCCAAAGTTTAAGCATATAAACCAAATGAACAAAGAGGATAGTTTTGAAAAGCCTCCTATGAATTAAATTGGAACTGTATGGGTACATTTACATTTTTCAACACGGCTGACTGTGTAACCCATCAGCAGTGGTTGCCTGTAAAGATGCATGGGAAAGTGTATATATTAAGTAAGATATTATTTCAGAAGGACAGATCTATGGCTTTTCTTTTTTAAAGGCTAGCTTCCTGAGTAAATTATCACTGCGTTATTGACTCAGAATAATATCAAGGTGTGTACTATCAAATACAGGGTTGGGTATCTCTTTGTAAGAGATAGCAGTGATTTTCAGTGGATAATTAAGGGAATTAGCACTTCACATTTTTTTCATGATATTTTTATGTCACTTAGAATTTTTCACGAATTATTCCTTGTATGATTGTAGATAATTAAAGCCCCATATGCTTTGCAGTAGTAGCAGCAGCGCAGATTATGATGCAGATGGAATTGGTAAGAGCAGTAGGTTTTGAAATGAGGTTGTAGACGGGCTGCTGAGACTGATTTTTGGACAGCATAAATGAAAGCAGTATTCTGATGTCAGCATTTGGAGTTTAAAAATCCCTAGCCATGGATCCCGTGCTGAGTCATTGGTACTTCAGGTAAACCAATTCCAACTCTATGTAAGCTAGCCTTCAGCCATGTGAAACTGTTAACGGCATCTCTTCCTCTCTCTGAACTGCACCCCCGAGCCCTGCCAATCCCTAACACATGCATAAAGAAAAACACTTATCTTTCAGGATTCATTTCCTGCCACTTGTCTCTGTGGAGCCCCTCCTGAGCTTTCATCCTCCTGTGGATCCATCACTCCTACTCCTATGCCCCGGCTACTCTGTGCAGACTTTGTAATAAGAGCTTGAGCACTTCAGATGCACATTTGTATGCATGCCTTTTCCGTTTATTATGTTCCTTGAGGGTAGGGGCTTTGTATTTGAATTATTATTTTATTGCTCTCATTTTTACTTCAGCTTCTATCACAGTACTTTGTGCATCATAATGCTAGTGTTTTTTATTGTTTCCAAGTAGAATTAAAGCTGTTCTTTGGGAAAGGGTGTTGCCTCATACATGGATGATTATAAATGTCTGATTTGCCAAAGATGAGAGTTTTCTTTTTGGTTAGGATTTATGACCCCAAAGGGAAGGTTACTGTAGTTCATCAGCCAATAAATGAAACCACACAGGGGGATTTTGTGATCTGGGACAATGTGTCACTTTGCTTTGATCTTTGGGTAGAGCCTCTAAGAGGTGCTCTCCTAGTGAAAACCTGGAACTGATACTAGGTGAAAAACCGGATTTCAACCACTGTAGCCTAGTGCTTCCGTGTGGTGTGTGGGTATTTACTTGGAACACTCTGTGTTTGCTTCTTACTACACAAATCTCATTTTATTGGTCTGACAAACCTATGAATTAGGTTTGAGACAGGAAGATTTATATTTTAAAGTTCTAGTATGTTGATTGTAACATTTTCATTGCTCTCTTTGGAAATTCTGTCACCTGAGATGAGACTATTAGCTAGATTCGTGAAGTCAGCCCACTGAATCTATAATTCAGAAATCTATAAATAGCTCCCTTCAAGTACAACATTGGGAACATTTATTTATATCAGCACGGAGGTAGAAATTACATTTTTCTGGAGGATACACGAATTTATTGATTGATCGGTTGGTGATGCACATCTTTAGTACTTTTTCCTCATTCAGACACATTTCCCCCCCAGAGATTCTGCTTATTTCCTTTTGGATCCTTTTATGTGGGGGCTGTAACTTAGGGTATTTATCTTTAAGTATAGAGAATGTCACCTGTACTCCCAGAAATGTGTTTGTTTGTTACCCTTTTTAAACCAGGAAAGAGCTATTGGCTCTGGTGTCTTTGGAGCCCTTCACAAAGCTCTGTGTCTGGATTAACTGTTGACCCCATGTGATATACAGAGCATCTGGCGGCTGGGGTGGAATTCTCAGCTGTCTCTCTTTGTTTTGTCCACAGAAGGAAATGTGAGTTTTATCTTACTGCTCAGGCGATGGTACATTCCTTTTTTGGTTCATGGGACTACCACCAATCTGATTGTGGGAGTATTTCCTACCATTCCTGTCATCTTCCGGAATTTGTTAAAGAAGGCCAGGGGTGATCTTCACCTACCATCACTCGTGAACACCATTTTCTTCTCAATCACCTCTTGTGTTCCTAAATTCTACTTTGAGTGAAGTGTATTATTGTGTAGTTTGTCCTGTCTTGTATGGTTTAGGGATCCCAGGCAGCATAATATTAAGAAGCTACAACTGTGGGTATTTCTTACAGCCAGTATTGTTCCTCCACAAATCCTCATTTTCCAGATCCCTGTGAAATTTATTATATTCTTGCCACCATATACTCGTGATTATGTGTTGCCCATATCTTGCTAAGTCTCAGAATACAAAGTAATTCTTCTCCTTGACCGTGAGACAGAGATAGGTGTTTTTAAAAATGAAGTACCGATATTTCAGTTTTTCTGGTGAGTATGGGACGTTGATTTTTCATTTGCCATACTGTATATGTGTGCATTTGTATGCAGTAGAGGTTGGCAGAAATGTGTATTGTGTTCAAACGCTGATCTTAAGCCTCTGTTTATTCCATACCTGCTAGTGCTTATCCACTATGCTATATGTCCTACATTAATTTTTCTCATTTAATCATCTTAATGATCTCATGAGATAACTATTTTTTTTCTACATTTTAAAGCAGAGGAAAGTATCAGAGAACTTTTGTCACTTGCTGAGGTCATGCAGCTAGTAAGAACAGAGTTAGAATTCAAACCAGACCTTTCTTCAGAAACCTAGGCTTTTAATGATGTCAGTATATTGCTCCTCTGTGTCAGCGTTTAACCCTGCATGGTGTAGGGAAGAAGCGGGCTATTGCCTAGGATTTGTGAAATAAGGATGTTGGTGAGATTATTAAAGTCAGAAGGAAACACTGAAAAGTGGAATTTGTTGGGAAGAAGGGGAACCATTTAGGGACAGACACTAGACCTTTGTGGTAACTGGTACGGCGGAGCATGGTGCTGTGGGGTCACTGGTTCTCAAACTTGAGCATGCATTTGGGTCACCAGGAGGGCTTATTAAAACCCAGATTGCTGGGCCACACCCCAGAGTTTCTGATTTACTAGGTTTGGGATGGGGTGAAAAATTGCATTTCTGGTAAGTTCCCAGGTGATCCAACACTTTGAGAACCCATGTAGAGAAAGTGTATGTGCTTAGGAGTCAAGTAGACACAGCTTTACATTCCTGCCCTACTGTGGGAGGCTTAGAGTCTTCATCTTAAAAGTTCTGTAATATAGGGTAGTATGTATATTACAGGATTTTTCATGAGCACTACATGTGATTTAGAAAGTGACAGCAATATTTGGCAATTATTGAATACTTACTAAACATCAGTTACTTTGAGAAGCATTTAACATATGTAATTTAATCTTAAGCAGTTAAGTATGTCATTCCTACATGTAAAAATCTTAATACGTATCAGTTGCTCAGTTAATATTCCTGCACACCTTTATCAGTAGGCCTTCTTAGGCCTGGAAATGTGTAATATCCCTTAGAAAGATTTTCATAAAGTTGGCTTATTTCTTTAAAAAATGTCGACACTTAAAAAGGAAAACTTAAAATACGTGTTTTTGTGAAATGGTTTTACTGGTAACACTAGATAAGAAAAGTGATAATGTCTGAAATGATAGAATTTTCTTCTGATTACTTTTGTGGTTAAGTACTGTGGGTTGTTTGATACTCATGTAACTATTCGTTAGAAATCAGAAAGCTTAACCAGCTTTACAAAAAAGCTGGTTTACCGTTAAAATTAATTAGATGGATTTTCTTCTCCTAAATTTCCATATGACACCTTTTCAGACAGTTTCTTTCGTAAGACTTATTTGCCATTTAGTTAAAATTCTTCACCTATTATTAAGTAAAACCAAAAAGTAATCAATTTTATTACCATACTTTATTTGGCTCTGTTTGAGAAATAGTGTGTTTTACTAGAAGAGATTAAGAGAGGTAGAGACATGGAGATTATGAAATGTGGGATGTTTCTATTTACTTGGGAATGGATGGGAACATTTTCTTTGTACCTAGTGTATGCTACGTACTTGGTATACCTTGTTAAAATACTTTAGTACTTACTTTATGTCGTGGTAAGGGGATTAAATGGCAACCTTAATTTGTGTAAGACATTTAAGACACTCCTGGCACATAGTAAGCATTTGATACAAGAGCCATTATTTCATGCATTTCAGATATGGGATTATAATAATTTCCATCCTCTTAGAGTTTACAATCTAGGAGTTCTTACAGGGAATTTGAGGTAGCTCCTAAAAGAATCAGCAGTTTTAAATACACAGCTGGTAACAAGGGAAGCTGGTATTCTAAGTCACGTGATTTCAAAGCCTGTGGTCTTCCTCTGGTACTATAGCCCCCAAAGCAATGCTGTCCATTCTGTATTGGTACCTTCCCTTCTTAATCTTGTAGTTGACAGTGTCCCACTTCCCAACTTTGAATGTCTCTTTTCCATGGTCTCAGCATGTTGTACCCTGGGTTAGGAATGATGTGTGACCAGAGGTGATTCAACTTGACCTGCTGGGCTCCGTGACTTAGGCATTGCTGGTGCAGAGATGACGATTGTGCAAACCTGATGGACTCATGGAATCAGAGGGCACCTTGATCTGCCTGCAGTGGGTGAGGCATAGTATGTATTAGATCAGGTAAAGGAGGCCCTTCATCTGAGGAAGGGGCCCAGGTTTCTACTTAGAAAAGAAAGGCATTGTATTTCATGCTTTACTCTCTCGCTCTAATCATCAGTGTGACAGATAAAGGGAGCAGCATGGCCGAGTAGTGAGACAGGTAGGAAGAGTGAGCCTTGAACATGTGTTCATGAATTCTCAGGGGCTTGGTATACTTGTAGCAAAGTGTTTGAGGAGAGGCTCTGTGAGGGAGATGATGCTGGAGGGGTCAGTGAGGGCTAGGTTTGTTGGGGGCTTTGTGTGCTGTGTGTTGAAGGGACATGCTCAGGCATAGGGCTTTATCAGGAGAGTAGCTTGATCAGATTGTATTTTGGAGACTCTGTGCTTCCCAGTGTGTGGAGGCCAGCTTAGAAGCCTGGAGTCCCAACTTAATTGATGACTTTGGAGAAAAACAAGAGAACTGAGGATAATAAATAACCAAGAAAGCTAGGTGAATAACTGTAAGATATAGGTGAGAGCAGAAGTCAGATCTTCAGATTTTAATGACAGAATGTCACCTTTTCAATCAGCAACAAAGTAGCCGAGTATAATCTTCAACCATCTGCTCTCTGGGAGAGGAGAGAGGAGAGGGGAAGGAGCGAGGAATGAGGAGCCAGAGAGATTGATTTTAGCTAATCACTTCTAACTCTTTCATTAAATTTTTATGGAGAATTAATACAGGCTGGGCGCAGTGGCTCGTGCTGGTAATCCCAGCACTTTGGGAGGCTGAAGTGGGAGGATAGCTTAAGCCCAGGAGTTCAGGACCAGCCTATGCGATGTGGTGAGACCCTGTCTTTACAAAAAAAAAAAAAAAAAAAAAAAAAAAAAAAAGAAAAAATTAGCCAGGCATGGTGGCGTGCATTTATAGTCCCAGCTATTTGGGAGGCTGAGACAGGAGGGTTGCTCAAGCCTGGAAGATCGAAGCTGCAGTGAGCCATGGTCGCACCACTGTACTCCAGCCTGGGTGACAGGGCCCAACACCCTGTCTCCAAAAAAAAAAAAAAAAAAAAATCCTTACATGTCTGCATTTTAGCCAAATATATGGTTTTGTTAGCAAAAGAGAGAATGTCTCTTTAAGTATTGACCTAATTAATAATTCTACCACTTCCAGAGAGTTGTGAAACATTTTTCAGAGGTAGAGACACTCTCGCTTGCTCTTTCTCGCTCTCTCTCTCTTGCTCTCTCGCTCTTGCTCTCCCTCGCACCCTCTCCCCCTCTCCCCCTCTCTCCCATCTCTCTCTCTCTCCCTCTCTTTTGCTCTCACTCTCTGTGTGTGTGTGCGCACATGTGTTTGAAAGCCAGCACCATCTGAACAATTTAGCTTTGCTGGACAAAAATAGACTTGAGAGGGAGAATTGTACATTGAAACAAGAAGAACTTACACTCTTACAATTTTTCAACACTCTCTTCCTTTTAAGGAATACTTCTCATTAAAGGGACCATACATTAAATTATATCCAAACTTGAGTAGTTTTAATTTCTTTTCTGTCTGAAATCCCTGTTAGAACAATCTCTAAAACTACTCCATAGACACAGAACTTGAGTAGATTTATTGAGCGCCATCTGCTGGCTTTGTTTTAATGGACCAAATAGGTGGTGCCTGGACATCTTTAAGAATTATCCTGTATCTTAGTGTTGCAAAATTATGAAGCTGGAAGACAGTATGAATTTGGGCTATGACTGGTAGTAGTATTTAAAATAATAGTTTTGTGTTGGCATTGAGAAAGGGGTATGGTTTTGGCAGGAGAATACACACAACCTGATTAAAAAAGAAGACAGGTTATAGGGATTTCATTGGCCAGTATCTTTATTGGGCAAAAGATTAGCCTAGTTTAAATAAAAAGTAACCTTAAATGCCAAATAAAATTCTTTAATATTTTCTAACAGTGAAGTCAACCTAAGTCTTTATCTGGAATGACTTTATGTAAAAGTCGATAAATTTCTTGGTGGATTTCTATTCGTGTTGCATGAGATACTTTGAGGTGTCTTTTAAAGAAAGATTTATAAAAATGGCTTTGTTGGCTAGTTTCAAGAATGCGTTTTATTTTGAGGGATGTGGATACTATCTTAGTATTTTCCTGCTGAGACAGATATAGGAAAAGCCCCTAGGTTAAATAAATAAGGGTGAAGCTGTTAGGTGCTCTTCTTGTCATTAGTCTTTTTGAATTTTAGTTATATTTTAAGTGACTTCTTAAGGGCAACTGAGCTAAAAATTTGGCATACCCAGACCATTAGACTCTAGATCTTTTAATTAATTTCTCATCCAGTCATCTTAAGTATTTAAGATGAATTGTAGAAAGATTGTCAGGCCGGGCGTGGTGGCTCATGCCTATAATCCCAGGACTTTGGGAGACCGAGGAGGTGGGCGGATCACTTGAGGTCAGGAGTTCAAGACCAGTCTGGCCAACATGGTGAAACTCCGTCTCTACTAATACAGAAAAATTAGCCGGGCACCTGTAATCCCAGCCACTGGGAAGACTGAGGCAGGAGAATTGCTTGAACCCATGAAGTGGAGGTTGCAGTGAGCTGAGATTGTGCCACTGCACTCCAGCCTGGGCAACAGAGCGGGACTCCATCTCAAAAACAACAAAAAAAGAAAGATTGTTTACAGAAAGAGAGACCAGAAAGGAATTCGTGCATTCATTTGGCCAACATTTATTGAGCACCTAGAACAACGAGACATACCTTTAGGCAATGATGTAGCATTGAATAAAACAAATATGGTCCCACCTCTCAGGAAGCTTACGTAACAGTTGGGAGGAAAGGGGAACTCAGATAAATACATAAATACATGCTTTTAGAATTTTATATATACATATAGGTATAATATATAATGTATTAAATAGACATACATGAATAAATACGTGTCAGAAAGTAAATGATGCTATGGAAAAAATAAAGCAGGGCAAGATAGATAAGGAGAGTTAGGGTAGGAGAGCTCATACTTCATTGAGGATGGTCAGGGATGACCTCACTGCTAAGGGGACATATGAAGACCAATGGTTATTAGTGTTATATAAAACAGTTGTTTATGATCGTCTTGCCTGACCTTCACCAACCATGTACAGAAAGCACATGGGACAGATGATGTTATTAATCGTTTCATGGGCCCCCTTGGTCTAGAATATAAAGGCTGATCCTTGGCACTGCTTTATGCCCATGTTCCCTATGCTGAAGCCATGGTCCGTTAGTCCTTGAATACACCGTGTTTGTTCAGTTCTGTGCCTTCGTACATACTCTCCCCTCCTTGGAGTGACTTTATCTCTTGTCTTCCTAGTCAGCTCTTACATGGCTTTTGAAATTCATAAATTTTACTTTCTCTGGGTAGCCTTTGTAGTCTCCTCTGGCAAATTTTCTTCCTTCTCTTTCTTTATCTTCTGTTAGGCCATAGCACTTTTGAAATGTTTCTATTTATAGCACCTGTTATATCACTGTAACTGTATGTTGGCATGAGTTTCTTCTACTAAATCAGGGGGTCTTAATCTGTTTTTTGTTGATGTCTTTGGGGGTGTGTGAACTGCTGGAAAACTGTACTAAAAGGTTATATTAGACTAGTGGTTGGCAAGCTACAGCCTGTGAACCAAATCTAGCCTGCTGCCTGTTTTTGTAAATAAAGTTTTGTTGAAACACAGTCACTCCCATTTCTTTATGTATTGTCTATGGCTCCTTTTGTGCTACCAAAAAAAAAAAAAACATAAGAAACGAGTAGTTGCAGTAGTAACCATATTTCCCACAAAGCCGAAAATATTTACCATCTGAGTCTTCACAGATAAAGTTTGCCAATCCTGATATTAGATGAAATGGGGATTAAAAAGGAAACATTTGGTGTTGTATGGCATGAAGCTGACTGCCTTTTCCTTGTGTCTAGAAACCACAGCAAAGACAGAACAAGTCACCTAACTTCAAGTTTCTCTTTGCCCCAAGACAGAGGGCATGACATTCTTTTAGTCAACCAATTTGGATGTCACCAACACCTGATGACAGGTGGTGGTCGTGTGGCCAAGAATGGGAGCTTCTGGGGACTGGTGTAATCAGCTTGCTTCCTTTAGAACTGACATCCCCAAAGCAGCGGCAAGTGGGAGTAGGATATGATGGCAGTAGCACCTAATCACCCTCCTCCACTCCCACACATCAGACTGGTGGTGCTCCCTGGGCACAGGTGGGCACCTGCTGGAAAAGTTTTCAGTGTGCTTCTTCTGAGACTTGCCCATGAGGGCGTGGCAGGAATGGGGGCCATGGATCCTGGCAAGGATATATTCCTAAACTGTCCTTGATGGTGTAGGTCCCTCCTCCTTTTCTCTGTGGCATTTTGCTTTGTCCATTTGATGCCATATCTTTACAGATGGGTTTCAGCAAGATATTCTCAAAGCATTTCAAGCAGGAATGAGCCCTGAGTAATATTGATGGAGCCTCTCTTTTCCTCAGGCACTTTGTGTAATTTTTTTTTTTTTTTTTTGAGATAGGGTCTCACTCTTGTCACCCAGGCTGGAGAGCAGTGGCACAGTCTTGGCTCATTGCAGCCTCGACTTCCTGGGCTCCAGCAGTCCTTCTACCTCAGCCTCCTGAGTAGCTGGGATACAGGCATGCACTACCGTGTCTGGCTAATTTTTGTATTTTTTGTAGAGATGGGGTTTTGCTGTGTTGCCCAGGCTGGTCTTGAACTCCTGGGTTCAAGCAATCCACCTGCCTCGGCCTCCCAAAGTGCTGGGATTACAGACGTGCGCTATCGTGCCTGGCCTTGTGTAGATTTTTTTAAAGGTAAGGGGTTGAAGTGGGGAATTCCAGCCCTCTGACGGGGGTGGTGGTACTGCTGGCTCTTTAGCTGAGTCCTCTATCGTGTTTCATCTGGACCACTCTTGATAGCTTCCTAAGTGGTCTTTCTGTAGTTTCCTTGCTCTGTCCTGTTCTCCGCAGAGGAACCACAGTAATCCTTTGAAACATGAATCATGTCACTCTTCTTTTCAAAACCCTCCAATGGTTTAGCATCACACTAAAAAAGAAAAAGAAAAAGAAAAAAAAATCCATATTCCAACCTCGCCTTCCATCCAGTGTTCATTCATTTGCTCCTCCAGACTGACCTTTGCTATTTTTTGAACACGCTGAGTTTGTACTTCCCTTGCACTCGATATATTCCCTTTGCCTTGACTGCTTTCTTTATCTTCCCTTAACTTGCTTCATTCAGGTTTCAGCTCAAATTTGCCTTCCTTGGAGGAGCTTTTCCAGACCACCCTGTCAGGAAAAGTATCCTCTCATCCCTATTTCAGACAAACTTTAACCCCTTTATGCTGTCTTACTCTTTCTAATAGAACTTTCCCTCTAATGTTACTTTCTATAATTTGTCTTACCTGCTAAAATATAAGCTCCATGAGGGCAAAGGGCCTTGTCTTTCATGTTTGAGGCCTAGTTCTTAACAGTGTCTGACACATATTACAGTAAGTTTTGTAATGAATGAATTCATTTTGCTGACAAAATGAGTTTCAAGTGGTTCTTATCAGGGGTCTGTAGCTATTAAGTGACTGATTCTGATTCTGTTTCCCAGCCTCCATTTTTATATTTCACTACCATGTGTGGCGGCTGATACCTTGTTACCGAGTAGCATGTTGCATTTAAGAAATAGTGAGTGCTAAATAATATTAAAGATTTTTGTGCATATGCTTGCTTTGTAATGGTATTGATTTCCCAGAGAAACGAAGCTACTCAGAGCCATTCATGCTACTTTGAGGTAATACTAAAGGACCAACAGAACAGGATAGCTCTGTTCAGTGATTTAGGATTTTAGATTTTTTTCTTCTGGTAGGATTTCTGTTTTCTAGCTTGATGGCAATAACATCATATATTTACGTTCTCATCCTAAGGAGCCTTGGGGTACTGCTTTGCTGTGACCGTGCCTTATGAATTTGTCTTTCATTTTCTAGAGCACTCCACTAAATTAGGCAGCACAAATGTAACTCATTTATCCTATAATTAAATTTTGTGATATTCTCCTTTTGAATGAATTCCGATGTAAGGAAGGCCAAGGGATAGCACTTCAGGGTATTCACAAAGTTAGAAATACAAGGTTTGTGTTTCTTTGGGGTTTGCTAGTGTTACATGACATTTTATAAGCGTCATTATATCCAGTGTTTAGAAACTCTCAGGTCTGAGAGCTGAATGGTTTTGGATTTAGTTTGTAGCCTCTGTCACCTCCTCCGACATGTCACCCCTGTCCACTGGTTGCAAATATCATTTCTTTCAAACATAATTTGAAATCAGGTGAGAGAGAATCGGTATTCCTCAGGCTCCTTCCAGGTGACCTGTGTTTGAGAAGACTGTGGGAGGCCTCCCTGCCCTGCGTTTTGCTCAGGCAGTCAAGGGCCTCCTCTAATCCCTGCAGTCCCTGGTCCTTGCTTCTCTTACTATGCTTTTGATACAGCTGCAATTGTTACCTTATGTGTCTTTTTCCCTGAAGAGGCTGTGTACAAAGATGAATGAGATGCAGTCTCTGGCCCAGCTTCACTGTAATGGCATAAGCTTTCAGAGAGTATGCGCCTGCTCGAGGTGATCTGTCTTGAGCTTTGAGCAGCACTGGGCTTAGACATTTCTCCACAGAAGTCTTTTTGGTCATATTCTTCAAGGTAGAGTTTGGGCATTCATCTCCCTGTACCTAGAGAAGTCAGTATATGTATTAATATAGCATTTGTTATATTACTAATAAATGTATAATTATATTAGTAATACATTTTATTGCTAGTATACAATTATTGAAGTAATAATAAAAGGAAATGTTTAAAGTAACAAAATATTTTCAGATATTTTAAGACTCATTTACCTGTCAACATGATTTCATATAATGTTTGTATTTTAAAAAATGATCCCAGTAATGGATGGCAGTTCTATATGTATATTTGCTAGCAGTAAGTCATTTGAAAATCCTTTAATTAATGCAGGCTAGGTTTCCACCTGATTATCACAGATGAACAATTATATCTTGTCAAGATTGTATCATCCTGAAAGGCTTTCATAGTTACCAAGGGTGTTATTAACAATAGGTGGTTAAAATAAAGAGAACTCTGAAATATTTTAAATGGTGTGGAATTGAGTGTATCATGAATCTGGGAAGGGATCATTATTTTGGTTTAGCAAATGAGCTTTCTGAAACATTTGAAATGGGAAACAAGTATTTTAAGTTTTGGCTGCAGAGTGCTCACTTGTGACTGCCATTAATAGAGAGAGATATGGCAAATCCCATGTTTTTAGGTGGCGCTTGAGTTTGGGTTCCTCTTGGGTCCATAGGGCCATTTCTGGGTTCAAGGCACAGGAATAGATAGATGAAAGATATGTTATGAAAAAACCCATTTAAGGCTAGAGAAAAAAAAAATTTCTGAGTTTGTTGCTTTTCTTCAGACGTCTCTCTTCCATTGTTTGTTCTGAGGATTTCTTTTTAAAAAGTCATTCCTTTTAATGCTGCAAGACTTTTATATCCTTGCCTCTTTTGGCTTTGCTGATCCTCTCTTCTCTGATTTCTCCTCTTCTCGGACTGGCCCTTCCTTGTTTGGCCTGTTTCTCTGGATCCATTTCTTCTTACTGCCTTCCCTTGCTGGAACACCAGCGTCTAGTCATTGGCTCTCTATTACCACAAACTCATCTACAGTCAAGGTTTTAGTTCTTAACTTAGTGCAGGTTGACTTTCAGATCTGACTGGCCAGGCTAGCCCTTTTTTGACAGCTTGCCCTGTTACCTACCTGTTGGATATAGAATAAGTACAAATATCTATCCTGTCTACCCTGCTGATACATGAAACTTAAGATTCAAAGCCCCATCATCTTATCACAAATTATTCCCACAAGCCACTAGTTTTCCTTAGAGATACCCCTTTTTCTCTTAATTCTGCTTGAGGCTTACTATCTTCCAGTCCCATCCAGTCACTTGTCATATTTCATCAAATTATTATTATTGTTAATTTGAGAGACAAGGTCTTGCCCTGTCCCAGGCTGGAGTGCAGTGGTGTGATCATAGCTCACTTAGTCTGCATCTCCTGGCTCAAGAGATCCTCCCACCTTGGCCTCCCCAGGGGCTGGGAGTACAGGCATGAGCCACTGCGCCTGGCCCAAATTATTTTTAACAGAATTTTTTTCTCACATTTATTATTTTTTTAGATTGGTAGATCTTGCTACCATGGCAGTTAAGCACTTTTAACTTTCTCACATTGTGTTTTTGTATTATTTTCTCCAAATGGTTTCTTTGTCTCTATTCTTTTTCCTTCTTAGGACGTGACTGTGAGAGAAATCTTTCTGGAATATTTGCTGCCTTTAACACCCCCTCACCCCCCATTTTTCTTTCAGTATATACCACATAAGACTGTCTTTTTTTTTTTCTTCGTCGCCTACACAGGTTCAAGTATGAATCTTTTGGCTTGCCATTAATATTCGGCATAAGCTCATCTCTGCCATCTTTATTTACTCAGTTATGGAACAACTTCCTAATGCTAGATGGGCCTTGTGTGAAGTTTCAAAAAGACAGTTTTTGCTTTCCATAAGCCTCAGGTGGTGAAGAGAAACATGTACAGCGCAGTGCACATAATTGCACATCTCTCTGACTTTGTCACACGTTTGGACCCAAGCAACACGTTTGGGTTTGGGTTTACCGTGAGTGTAAGCAGACCTCTTGCTTCTCCTCCCTTCTCCACCTCCAGACTCTTCCATCTTTCTTGTTCTTAGCACCCTCTTTCTCCTATACCCTGTAGTCCTTCGATGCCTGCGACTTGCTTGCTATGTAACATGTTCCTTCTATCAACAATGATCTCTTTACACGTATCTCTTTTTTCCCCACACCTAACTGTGTCTCCTCTTAACTTCAAGGTCAGGATATAGAGGAAAGAATACAGACTTAGGAATCCTACTTGGATTTGAATTCCCGCTTGACCCCTTCTAGCTTTTTAAAGGCAAGATTTAAAAAATACTCTCGGCTACAGCTTTCTCATCTCTAAAATGGAGATAAAGATACCTTGCAGTATTTGCAAAGCACCTCAGTCAGCCCCTCACCTGCAGTAGGCATTCAGAAAATGCAGTAGTATGTGCTGACTCATCTTCCTTTCTCACCTTTACCATGCTCCTACAGTGTTGACTATTTTTATGTATGTATGTATGTATGTATGTATGTATGTATGTATGTATGTATGTATGTATGTTTTTGAGGTGGAGTCTCGCTCTGTAGCCCAGGCTGGAGTGCAGTGGTGTGATCTCGGCTCACTGCAAGCTCTGCCTCCTGGGTTCACGCCATTCTCCTGCCTCAGCCTCCCGAGTAGCTGGGACTACAGGCACCCACCACCATGCCCGGCTAATTTTTTTGTATTTTTAGTAGATGCTCCTGCCTCAGCCTCCCAAAGTGCTGGGATTACAGGCGTGAGCCACCGTTCCCGGCCCAGTGTTGACTATTTTTGTAATTTTAGTTTAGTGATAAAAACGTCTGTGGTGTTGTATTATTTATTTTTCCTAGGTCCTCGGGTAAAAGGCGCTTGTGTGAGCATGGACAGGCTCCATGCTCTCAGAGTGAGGCTGAAGGAACTTCTACATTTGCTGTTAATGATAGAGCTTTCTTCACATCTGTATTGATAGGGCTTCCCACAACCCCAGCCCTTAATTTATTTTAAAGCCTTTTTACAGTTTTTTGTGGGAAGCCTTGGAGGTTTTACAATTTTTTATTTTTATGTTTTTAAAACTTTTAATGTGGACATAATTCCAAAATATTAAAAATATTAAAAAATAATTTTATAAAGAGTTTTCCAAAAGTAGTACAAAGAATACTCATATATTCTTTACTCAGGGCAACACCTGTTGTTAACATCTTACGCCATTTGCTGTATCATTTTCACTCTAGCGATTTACCTGTAGGCCGACAATTTTTTTCCTTAATTATCTGTCAGTAAGTTACATGTATCCTGGCTGTTTATTTCAAAAATGCTTCAGTATGTATTTCCTAAAATAGGGATATTCTCCTTTGTAATCACAGCAGGGTAGATACTGCTCTTTAGTTGTCATGTCTCTTAGCCTTCTTTAATGTGGAACACGTCCACACCCTTTCTTTATCTTCTGTCTTTTCCGATTTTGAAGAATACAGTGCCCTCTCCTCTTGCTTAATAGACTGTTTCTCATTGTCCGACGTTTCCTTGTGATTAGGTTGAGGGCTTGCATGCTTGGTCAGAGCACTGCATAGGTAACCTTGTGTCTTTCTCAGTGTGTGACTCTGGAGACACATCTGTCATCTGTCTTTATTGAGATCTTTATTTTGATTAACCTGTTCAGTGTATTGGCAGATTTCGCTGAATGAATTCTCCTTTTTTTTTCTTTCTTATAACTAATAAGCAGTCTTTGGGGAGACACTTAAAGACTGTGTAATATGTATGCTGTTCCTCATCAGAATCTCCCTCTGGATTGAGCATTCATTGATAACTTTTTGCCAGAGTGAATCTTTACCATATGTTTGCGCAGTGATAATTTTACTATTCCAGCAATCTCCCCTCTTTAAGCAGTCAGCCCGTCATTCTGTGATACTCATAGGAACTCCCTTCTCTGCTGTATAATTTATCTACTGTTATTAATATGGACTCATGACTTCCTATTTGTTAAAAAAATTGTTTATAATTTATTGCTGTTCTTGATTGTGTAGTCTTTAAATTGTCCCAGGTTTGTACAGAGGAAGCCACTTGAGTCTGGCTTCTGTGTCCTTAAGACATGGCCCCATCGTTTTTTTGAGCACTTCATTGTTTTCTGTCAAAACAAGATATTACAGTCTCATCTTATAGATACTCTGACCCAGGCCTGGAATCAGCCAAGTCTCTGAAGGGACTCGGTTCTTTTTATTGGAGAATGGTATTAGTGACCAATGCCTGTACACTAGATAATATTCATTGCTACTGAGTGTTCCTCTGTTGTGTAAGCCTTTAATGAAATTGAACACTGGCTGCCATGAGTTGCCAAGTTAAAATGCCATGACTTTGCCTTTTAGCCTATGGAAAAGTTGTAGCTACCTGTCAGTGTTTGGTTGTTTTAGCAGAGTAACTGGGCAAAGTGTTATCAATTGCCTATCAATTGTATGTTTAAAGGAGAGAACGAAGATAGTTATGTGAATACAAGCAGTGTTGGTTAATGAGATTTTGAGGGGTTTTTTTTTTTTGGTACTGTAATAATTGCCACCTCATGGAAAGGTAATACCCTGTAATAACACTCAGTTTTTATTTAGTTTACTTAACTCTCTTGTTTCACTTTTCCCAAATTTGCAGTGGGTATAAATCCTGTCATTTTGTCAGACTGGGAAATAAATTTGGGAAGGCCTGTGAAACTTTTAAGATTCTGGATTGAAAGGTAGTTTTTGTTATAATTTCACAATTCTTGGAGCCTACAAGAATGTCTTTACATAAAATATGTGACTGCAAGATATAAAAAATAAACTCAGGAATCTAAATTTTATACCTTTTAACTTCAAATATTTGATTATAAATTATTTGAGCAGATATTTCTTGGAAACTATTCTGAAATAATTTCAAGTTTATAGAAAAGCTGTAAGGATAGAACAGATATTACATCTTATAAACTTTATGCCCCTATTTTCCAACTGTTGACATTTTGCCATATTTGCTTAATCATTCTGTCTCTTATCATTTCTTTCCTGAACCATTGGAGAGTAAATTGTAGGTCTCACGTCCCTTTACTCCAAACGCTTTGTTGTGTGGTTTCTGAGAACAAAGGTGTTCTTTCATAACCACGGCACAATACCAAAACCAGGAATTTTAACATTGGTTCCATGTTAATCTGTAAACCTCATTCAGATTTTGCAAGTTGTCCCGATAATATCCTTAATAGCAGCTTGTTTTTATTAAGTATTCACTCCAAAATCATGTGTTGTGTTTAGTTGGCAAATCTTTTTAGTCTTCTTTACTCTGGAACAGGACCTCAATCTTTGTCTTTTGTTAATGACATTTTCTGAAGAGTTACAGACCATTTTTTTACATAGATGCCCCTTCAATTCAAGTTTGTCTGATGTTTTCTCATGACTAGATTGAAGTTATGCATTTTTGTTAGGAACACTGTAAGTGATGCTGTGTCCTTAGTGCATGCTATGTGAAATGTGATGTTAGCTTATTTCTCTATGGTTATTTTTCCTTTTTTTTTTAAATCATTTGATTCAGGTGTTATCTGCCAAAGTTCTGCTTTCCCCTTTGTTATTTATAAGCCTTAAGTGAGCATTTCTCCAACATCTTTGTTGTGTTTTTAACAACTTCTTTAACATTTTAAACATCTTTTCTGTTGTCCAATTTTTAACAACAAAGATGTTAAAAATCAGAAAACTCAGAAAAGCACATGGTGTATTAAAATTCCACCTAGGAATAACTGCCATTAAAGTTTTGGTGTCTCCCTTTCTGTCTCTTCAGATGCAACTTACTAGTCTAGACAAAGCAGGTTTCTCAGTGAATAAAACATGCTCTAATGGGGTGTACATCCTGGCACATTATAATAGTAGTCATTTATTGAATATTATGTGCCAGGCACTTGATATAGGTGCTTTCCTTTTATCAATCACTTAATTCTTCAAAACGACCTTATGAGATAAGGTTGATGATTCTTGTCCTCCATTATGGCATAAGGAAGTTAAACAACATACCCCAAGTTAAACAGATGTAAAGTGATATACCATACTGTGATAAAGACACAGGCAGGTTGGTGTCAGAGATCATCTTCTTAATCACGGTGATACACTAACAAGTTATAAACTAACAAGTTAACTTAAAGTGGTGATAATACTGAACTGCTGTGAGGAGAACTATGATGACACTGTTACCTATAACCTGTGATGGTTTGTACTTGACTAGGGTTTTGTCTTATAGCAAGACCTCCATTCTTTCCGTAAGTGGTGATGTCTCTTAAATGGGCCTGCCACGGCCTTCCTTGGTCCTCCCTGTGGAAATTCTCCCCTTTTCCCCTCTCCTTCCCTTCTGCTGACCTGTTCTCAGTGGTGTGCTGGTTAAAAAGAAAAAAAGAAAGCCCTCATTTATATCATTTGCCAATTTCAGTGGTGTAAATACTCCCATAATGGTTGATTTCAGGTATCCACACCACATTACGAATACAGATTTGACAAGAGATGTGAGTTGTGAAGACACGCAGCAGGACACCATTATGTGGAATTTCTGCTGTCTGGATACAATAGATACAAACTTTCAGGGCATGGAGAATAGTATGTTGTGGTAAATAATTAGAAAGTGATAAGTTTTGAGTATTTATGACATTTGTTTTTAATGCAGTTTACTTAGTTATAAGCCTATATCATGTAATTTTTAATAATGGCTGAGTTTAACAGCTGTCTTGCAGAATTCCTGAAAATTTAACAATGAGCACTCATGAGCCTACACAAGCCAGCTCCAGTATACCACTGTGATTTCTTTGCTGCTGACTGGGCCCACCTTTGAAAATCTATGGCTGACACTTCCTTACTATCTAAGATGACATCAGTGCCATCCTGTCTTTCACTCTTCCTCCTACAGGGCTTTCTATCTCATTCTCCTAATCCATATCTACTACCTTCCCTGTTCAAAGCCCATTTCTTTCCATTCATCCCTGCACTGTAATTTGACTCTTCCCATCCCCCAAATACGTTTCCCTTTCCCATCACACTTTTTTTTTTCCCCCCATCAAGTTACTTTTCCCAGTTAAAGGAAAGCCTCAGACCACTAGTATCTTGGGACATGGAGAGTCTCCCAGCAAGATGTTGGGTCTTATGAAGTGAGGAAATCTTTGGTCTAGAAAAGGAAAATACGTTCTTAGAATTCCAGGGTTGAAATCTAGGTGAAAAGATTTTTTTAAACTTAATATATAAAGGAAGTTACAGTGCCATTATTATAGTATGTAGCTACTCTAAGAATTACTTCAGGATGGGGAAAAGTGAGACCATGGCTACCATTTAAAACCCCATTTTAAAGTAACTGTTTTATAAAAACCTGTTTTTATTTGCAAATAAGTGATTTGATAGGTGATATTTTAGAACACAGTTTATTTATATGGGGGTGGGGGGAGCTAACCTATATTTACAGAATAAGGCCTAGTATAGAGGTCTTTTCCATTAGTTTTTGTGTCATCTGTCAGCAAAACTAATTAGGACCCTGAAAAAATTGTCAGTTGCAGGGATACATTTCTCACTAATGAAGAAACATGGAAAATATCTGTGTAAGGGGATCACGCTGTTTCTTAAGTTCAGATTATTGGAAGAGGGTGGTGATGTAGGTGTGTACTCTTCCTGAGGTTGGGTCAAACTAAAATGATAATTGAGAATGTCTTGAATATTGCCCTTGTTAATAAGTTGATCTATTTTATTTTATTTAGAAACATGGCAGACTTGTTCACTGTGTAGCCAGACTGATGTGTCTATTTATTCTTGTAGGCTGGTCTTTCCCAGGCACAGCAGAATAATTTATTAATACCAGGGTATTCTTTAAGGATGGTAGGATTAAAGCATCATGACAAAAATTGTTACCTAGATCTGTTTTTCCTTGTTATTTTTTCATCACCATTCTACTCATTTAATCTTTAAAAGCCATCTCAAGTAATAGTAGGTACCTGGTTCTACTGGAGTAAAATGGGAGTTAGTGGCTGAAATGCAGTTTGTTATTTGCTGTCAGTGACTTTATCAGTGTGCAGAGAATACTCCTTCAAGGAAAACAGGTAATTTTAATTCCAGGTGCCTTCGGAATCTAAATTTCAAGAGGCTTTGAAATGAATGGAGCTTCTGTGTTCTCTTCTCTTGAATATTTTGGGCATAAGGTAGTGTGACTTAATATTAAAAACAAACAAACAAACAAAACAACAAAAAAACTACAGACCAGGTGCAGTGGCTCATGCCTGTAATCTCAACATTTTTGGCAGGCCAAGGCTGGAGGATTGCTTGAGTTCAGGAGTTTGAGACCATCCTGGGCAACATAGGGATACCTGATCTCTACAAAAATTTAAAAAGCCAGAAGTGGTGGCGCATGCCTGTTGTCCCAGCTACTTGGGAGGCAGCAGGGGGAGGATCACTTGAGTCCTGGAACTGCAGGCTGTGGTGAGCCCTGATTGTGCCACTGCACTCCAGCCTGGGAAACTAAGTGAGAACCTGTCTCAAACAACAACAAAAACCCAATTAAAGGTATGAAAGCAATTTAAAACTTACTTGTAAAAAGAGGTTCATATTGAAAGCATTGCTAAAAGGATTTCATCTGCCTATAATTAGCCACCTCCTCTGTCCCCAAAGGAAGGCCCAGACTTCACTAGTATCTTGGGGCACAGAGAGTCTCCCAGCAAGATGTTGGGTCTCATATGAGGACAAAATTCTTGATCTGGAAAAGGAAGATATATTCTTAGAATACCAGGTTAGAAATCAAAGTGAATTTTTTTTTTTTCCTGTAAAAGTCCAGATAGTAAATAATTTAGGCTGTGGGCTAAGTTCTCACGTAATCATTACCTTTTATGGCCCATTGTAGTGCAAAACTAGCCATGGATGATGGGTAAATGAATGGGTTGGGTTCAATTAAACCTTTATTTATTGACAGTGAAATTTGAATTTCATGTAATTTTCACATTAAAAGGATTAAAAGGCCTTCTTTCTTCCCTAACCCTAACCCCCACACCCGCCCCCACAAAATGTAAAACAGGGGATGGTGGGAGGCTGGAATTGACTTGTGGGTCATAGTTTGTCAACCTAGTCATAGTTTGTCAACCTGTGCTGCAAAGGATGGAACTTTTTATTTGTACTTTTTTCAGGCTGTGAGGATATTTCAGTACCTTGAGAAATGGACTCTTCTCATACACGCTGCAAAAACATCTTTTTAACTGGTTGCATCATGCCAAAGAAGATTACACATTTTACCAGGCTAAGCTTTTCAAAAATGTTTCCAAGAGAGAGTCTTATAAACAAGACAGAAGTCTAATTCTGAGTAGTAACTGAAGTCAGTGATAATTCTGTTTTACCAGCCGTGATATTCCTTGGATTAGGATACTGTTGAATGCTCCACTGTGGTAGTCGTAGTAGTCATGGACCCACTGGAGCATTGTTTGTTAATAGACCTGGTTCCTAGGTTTGACTTGATGATTTTTGCTTTTTAGTGTTTAGTAAAAAACTACCTTCTGCTCAGTTATGCTGCTGGGCTTAGTAAATTGTGACCACAGGGTGGTATGTTTCTCTTGTTGGCTTTAATTGTTGCTAAAATCGAAAGGAAAAATATTCTGTACATAATGAGAATTTACTCCCCTAATTATGATGCTAAAATGGCCCAGCCTTCTCTAGATTGATTTTTCTATAGTGCATTATTAAGATTTATATAGTATTAAATCTCAGTGCTTTAAACCTTGATGCTTTGTAATCTTTTGTTATGGTTACAACAGGAATTATATAGTTCGTAATTGGGAGAATGCTAATAATTAGGACTGTATTTCATAGAATATATTTAGCCACTGGCCTTGATTTAAAAAAAAAATCAATATATAAAAACTACTAAAGAGTATTTGCGGCTGGGTACGGTGGCTTACTCCTGTAATCCTAGCACTTTGGGAGGCTGAGACGGGTGGATCATCTGAGGTCAGGATTCGAGACCAACCTGGCCAACACGGCGAAACCTTGTCTCTACTAAAAATACAAAAAAATTTAGCTGGGCGTGGTGGTGGGTGCCTGTAATCCCAGCTACTCAGGAGGCTGAGACATGAGGATCGCTTGAACCTAGGAGTTGGAGGTTGCAGTGAGCTGAGATCACGCCACTGCACTCCAGCCTGGGCAACAAGAGGGAAACTCCGTCTCAAAAAAAAAAAAAAAAAAAAAAAAGCAACTGAAAGACAAAGATGTCTTACCTTCTAGTAGTTGCAAAGTCATAGACAAAGTTATTGGCTCAAGATTTTTGTCTGATTTTATGGGATTAATGTAGGGGTGGATAAAGAAGAGTAGGAATGTCAGATGGTCAGGAAATACAAATTATTAGAAAAGCAGCCTCCTATTGAAATAGGTTAAAAATATTATAGACCGAGAGTTGAACATGTTCCAGGAGCTTTCCTATACAGTCATGTGTTGTTTAAACTATGGGGATACGTTCTGAGAAATGTGGTATTAGGTGATTTTGTTTGTTGTGCAAACATCATAGCATATACTTAACACAAACTTGGATGTTGTAGCCTGCTGTGCACTTAAGCTGGAGCCCAAGCTCGTCTTCTTTGCACTCTACCCTTTCCAGGCAAGCCTGTTGCTGGAGAATGTATGGACTTGGTAATGATTTATGGGATATAGAATTTAGAGAATTATTGTCAACTGGAACACAGGAGTTAAGGAGCATTCTGAGTATAAGGATGTGATCATTTATTATACCCCCTCCATCCTCTCTGCCTTATTTTTGGATTTTCTTCTATGTCTCCCCCTGCCCCTCCCCTTTTTAACCCATTCATCAAGTAAAGTTTTCCTTCATCTTGTTGATTAACTTACTTGTCTAATGACCTCCACTAAAATGTAAGTTTAAAGAAGAGAGAGCGATCTTATTTTCAGGTTCATTCTGTATTGTGAATGCCTAGATGATTGCCTGGTGTATAAGTGCTCAATCTTTATACTTGTTTCAGCTTACCAGAATGGGGGCATGGTTTAGATGATAAATTTGATTTTCCCTTAAATATGATGTTTGATAAAGATAGGCTGCGAAGAGGAACCTTACTAATGTAAACTTGCTATATTGTTTCCTTTCCTAGGGTGATTGTGTTGTTACAGTGCTGCTTGCTGAAGAGGACAAAGCTGAAGATGATGTAGTGTTTTACTTGGTATTTTTGGGTTCCACCCTCCGTCACTGTACAAGTACTCGGAAGGTCAGTTCTGATACATTGGAGACCATTGCTCCTGGTAAGTATTTGAATGGGATCCTTACTAGCTTTTCCTAGTTCTTAAACCCTTTTATTCGATGTTTATGAGTATAGAGTGACAGGAAGAGTGAAGTGTAGACAGTATAAAAAAATTTATTAGTTTATAAAGCAGTTTGAATATCTGGTCCTGCTGGTATTGGAACAGATTGCCAGTTTTTTATTGCTGTGCCATTTTATGTATATTACTGTTATGTCGGCCACCTACCAAATTCTGTAAATTATAACTTATTTAAGAACTGGGATTATGACAGTTGAAAGCTGTATTTATCCTCCTACTTGGCAAAAATGATGTTGAAAATTCAAGGATTTAAAGATTCTAGAGAGTCTCTAGGTATATTATTGCCAAATTTTTATGGACAGGGAATAAAAGAAGGTAGTCAGCATAGATACCGATTTCTTTTCTGAAGAGTATTAGATATCCTTCCTTGTAACCCACAGCTCCAGTCATCTTGTTTCCTGTGATGTATATCATATCAGAAAGGCTTTTCTGGAACTTGAGGTCTGCTCTCTAGCAGGTACCATCCAGTATCACCATTGCTGAACATTTATTATGTGTTGGTGATGGGGAGAAACAGCTTCTTAACCTAGGTATAATCGATCAGTCCGTGACTCAGTTCTCATTAGGAAAGGAATTGAGGTAATTTTTATAAACATAATACTTCCTATAATAGGAACACTTTAGGGTTAAAGTTCGAGGGCTGTGTGTTTATATACCTGTGTGTGCATATATATCTAGAAAGGGCATATAAGTAGATACAAGGAGACTGCAAGCAGATATAAGGGAAAAGGCAAATACAAAAAGCATGGCCTGTGTCCTAACTGTGATCCTCAGTCACAAATCCCAACAAAGTCTGTTCTATTGGTGGAGAGGGATGTACCTGGAAGCCCTTATGCCTTTACTGGTAAGGTCCTTAAATTAGGATGGGCAGCAGGCAATTACTTTCTCAGAGTCACTGAACTTGTATGACAGCCTGGAGCTCTAAGTTTGTACCAGATCCTTGTACATTGTCCTCAGCCTCCCTTTCTGAGCTCTAGTTCACATTTCTTCCCTTGACTTTGATTCTAGTACCACTTTATATATGTCTATGTAAGTACCCTTGCCCTGCCTACCCAAGCCAAGCAGAATGGGTATTAGACTCTGCTCCTTTCCTCTAATTTGGTCCGAATCCTCAGAAATCATTCCTGACCCCTTTGCTTTGGCCCTGTAGTCCTACCTAGTACCTGGCTTTTCTTCTGTTTTCTGCTAATCATCTCTCCTCTTAGCCACATTTCAGTATTTTTCCATCATGCTTATGAGGTCAGATACCAGCCACCCCCCCCACCCCCACCCACACCCCCTCCCCCCGTCGCCCCCATCCCATTGGCCTGAATGTTCTGCTTCCCACCTGAATTTAGTCAGGCAGCTGATATGAGGTGCCTCATCACAGCAGAGGTAACAGAAGGATTAGAGTCCTTGAAAGACCTTTTTTTACTTCTGGAAGGCCAAATGCAGAGTAAGGCAACACTTTAACGTGTGAGCCTTTGATATGTGTGCAAGGGTACCAGTGAGATCCTTAGTTGGTATAGTAGAAACTCTGTTAACTAAGCAAAGGAGATTCCTGACCGGACCCTATTGCTCTGCTTATCACATATGAGATTTTTCTGATTACTTGTCTTTTTCAGCTACTGTCATTTGGCTTAGTTTGGTAATTTATTGTGGAGGGGTAGAGATAGAGGCATTTTGGGGGTTAACTTGTTTTGCATTTCTTGTTTATAACATGGGGTAAATTCTTTAGCCTGGACCTAAACTTCTTTAAATCTGCCTTTGTGGACTTAGACTTGTGTGTTCCCTTCCTTCAGGCCCTTACTCAGTATCACCTCCTCAGTGAGGCCTTTCGGTCCAGCTCATAAAAATACACAGCTGCCTCCTCTCCACATTCCCTATCCCCCTTTCCTGCTTTATGTTTCTCCATTGCACTTTTCAACTTCTCACATATATTTTACTTATTTATCTTATTTATTTTCTATCTGCCCCAACTAAAGTGTCAGCTTTATGAGGACAAGGATCTTTGTTTGGTTTCTTCACTGGTATCTGCTAAGAAGGCTGTTCTAGGAAACTGTCACTTGATAGAACAACATTTCACACATCCAGCTTCCCAGAAGCTGCTCTTCTAGAAAGATGTGTATGTATGTGAATACACCCACACTCGCACTCACACGTAACCCCCCTCCCCGCCCCCCTTTTTTTGTTTTTTAATAAATTCAAAAGAGTCTCTGGCTTCTTGAGTTGCATTTTTAGCTTGGAGAAGGAATACGATGATTTTTGTGTACCAGTTAGCTGCATTGATAGCCTCAGATTTCCTGTTTGCTGAGGGCAGTGTTAGATTAGTCAAGAATCTGCATGGAAAGTCCAGTCTTCGTGGAAAGTCCATGCAGTGCACTGTGCATCCCAGTTCCTGGATAAATGTGCATGGTCTGTTTGTTGCAGCAGCTACTGCCTGCAGGGATGTCTCTGCACTCTTTGTGCTTACGTGTGGGACTAGCTCTGCAATTTCTAGTCATTTTGGCTAAGAGAAGAAAAAGAGCTTTGTGTCTTGTTCTTGTCCCCCACCCCCCACCCCAAGAAGGAGTCTTGCTCTGTTGCCCAGGCTGGAATGCAATGGCACGATCTTGGCTCACTGCAACCTCCATCTCCTGGGTTCAAGCAGTTCTCCTGCCTCAGCCTCCTGAGCAGCTGGGATTACAGGCGTACCACCACACTTGGCTAAATTTTGTATTTTTAGTAGAGATGGGGTTTCACCATGTTGGCCAGGCTGGTCTTGAACTCCTGACCTCGTGATCTGCCCACCTCGGCCTCCCAAAGTGCTGGGATTACAGACGTGAGCCACCGTGCCCAGCCTCTTCTTGCTTTTATTATTATTTTTTTATTTTTCATGTTTCATCCAGATTGCTGGCTCTGATTTTTCTTTGAGTTCTCTGTATGTTTCACTGTGTGTTTTGTAACATTTTAGTTTTTCCTAAAACCAAAGGATTGATTAACCTTCAAAAGGCAGCACTTTTTGATGTTAGTCTGTAACCTTTTATCAAATCAATATTTCCCTAAATAGAGTTGACACACAGACATTCTAAATTATCTCCTAATAAATTGTTTTGACTTCGGATATTGAAATTGCAGGCCCATCTCCCCACCCATCTCAGTTTTCTCTCTTTTTTTTGCGTGTTTTGTAATAAGTCCTACAATGAAGTGTGTGTGTGTCTGTCTGTCTGTCCCTCCCTCCTGCCCCCTCTTTCCCCATTCCCCTGTGTGTGTGTGTGTGTGTGTGTGTGTCTGTGTGTAATTACAAAGAAGTTGTAAAGGCCTTTTAAAGTAGTTATGATGTGATTTCCCCTCCTTTTTAAAAATAAAGTATTTTAAGCGTAAGTAGTAACATCTTAGAGGGCAGGTACGTGGAGACTTTGACTTTCTATTTTATCTATCTTTAAATTTTTTTTTTTTTTTTTTGAGATGGAGTCTCGCTCTGTGGTCCAGGCTGGAGTGCAGTGGCGCGATCTCGGCTCACTGCAAGCTCCGCCTCTTGGGTTCACGCCATCCTCCTGCCTCAGCCTCCGAGTAGCTGGGACTACAGGTGCCCACCACCACACCTGGCTAATTTTTTTGTATTTTTAGTAGAGACAGGGTTTCACCGTGTTAGCCAGGATGGTCTCGATCTCCTGACCTCGTGATCCACCTGCCTTGGCCTCCCAAAGTGCTGGGATTACAGTTGTGAGCCACCGTGCCCAGCCTGAATTGTTTAAATGTTTACAGTGAGCATGTTATTTTTATGATACATAGTAATTTTTGATGAAAACATTCTGAAGGCTGAAAAGAATGTCCTGTCTTTTGAAAATAAATCCATCTTTGTGCTGATTAACACTGGAGGCTAACCAAAGCGTTATAATAAAATATTACATTTAAAACACCTATGAAAGTGGCTAGTTCAAGAATATAATTTGCCTTGAAACATAGCTTGAGATGGAAGTATACTTCTAGTAATGAAAGATCTTGCCTTAGTAATAAATGAAAGTAAAATATTCCATTATTGTCCCTTCATAGAAAACAAATACAACCCTAAATGACATTTTAATTAACTAGTGATTTTCCTCTAAAGCTGAGATTTGTTTTTTTAAGACCTATGTAGGATTGGCAAATAGTGTACAAAATCTGGACATCCTTTGAAGATAATTGTTGGGGTGGGATGGGGGCATAGAGTACTGTTTTATTGTGTTCATTTTTATTAATGAAACTGTGAATTTAGACCAAGCAGTGATTTCATAGTGGAAGATGGAACAGGATGTTTAGTGGGTTTTGTATACTATTTTTGTAAAAGGCTTTGGTGCAGAATCTTTCATAAAATGAAATCTATTTTCAGCATGTCTGTTATTTATTTTTAGAATTCACAGCAAGAGTTCTTGTTTGAAGAACTACAAACCTTTATTGACTCCAAATTTGACTCAGCTCTGTTATATTTTCCTTTTCTTTTTCACTGATAAGGGAGGGTACTTTATAAAGTAGATTTGTCATTAAAAAAGAATAATACATTTACCTGATCAGAAGTTCTTTTGGGTTTAAAGAAAAAAATTGCAGCCCAGATTGCAACAAATGGTCTGAGTTATAATATGTTATGTCTTTCTTTTTCTTTCTCTCTTTTTTTTTGTTTTGTTTTGAGACAGAGTCTCACTCTTTTGTCCAGGCTGAAGTGCAGTGGCACAATCACAGATCATTGCAGGCTTGACTTCCCAGGCTGAAGTTATTCTTATACCTCAGCCTCCCAAGTAGCACTCACCATCGTAAGTGGCACGTGTGTGTGTCCATCATAAGTGGCTGGCACGTGTGTGTGTGTGTAGATGGTGTCTCCCTGTGTTGCCCAAGCTGGTCTCAAACTTCTGGTCTAAGTGATCCTTCTGCCTCCACCTAGCAAAGTGTTGGGATTACAGGCGTGACCCACCATACCTGGCCTCTTTCATTTCTCGTCAACCAAGAATTACTTTCTAGCAGCAGGTGTCCAGTATTACCAAATGGAATAGCATATTTGAAAAGAAGTTGTAGACTTTTAATTTAATGGGCTTCATTAGAGAATTCTGACACCCCCCATCCCCCAGCCTGGCCCTGCCCCTGGCAACGCCTGTCAAGGTAATCAGTTATTTTTATTGGACTTTTTCTAACAGTCTCCCTATTCTGAAATACTCTCAAGCTATCTCTAGACAGATGAGATTTTATATTCTAGAAAACTTAAATTACTGTCCTAATGCTAGTTAGTACATATAGTGGTTATACTGGAAAAACAGAGTGAGAACTAGTTGAAGAGGAAAAAAATCTGTTGTCTACTGTCCTTAGTTGTAATTTTTTTTTTTTTTTTTTGAGAGGGTGTCTCGCTCTGTCGCCCAGGCTGGAGTGCAGTGGCGCGATCTCTGCTCACTGCAAGCTCCGCCTCCTGGGTTCAGGCCATTCTCCTGCCTCAGCCTCCCGAGTTCCCGAGTAGCTGGGACTACAGGCGCCCGCCACCACGCCCGGCTAAGTTTTTGTGTTTTTTAGTAGAGACGGGGTTTCACCGTGTTAGCCAGGATGGTCTTGATCTCCTGACCTCGTGATCCGCCCGCCTTGGCCTCCCACAGTGCTGGGATTACAAGCGTGAGCCACCGCACCCGGCCCTGTTGTAATGTTAGGAGGAAATTATATATTTCATAACTTTGGAACCATGAACACAGCACTGGAATCCTAGGGCATACAATATTAAGGGAGTGATATCCTCCCAAGGGGGTGAAAATTGCCTTTTGGGACCAAAAAAAACTTACAGTGATATATAAAACACAGTTACACAAATTTGTGGTATATCTGTGGTATTAAAGTTTCATGAAGTGAGGAGTGAGTAGAGAATAATGTCTGAAAAGGCTCTTTGGGATATGATAATGGAAGAAAAGGCTGAGAAACACTGCCTTAGAGGTGTGGGCTGGAATATAGCGGAGCACATTTTTAGCATTAAATCTCTCCTTCCTCCTCTAAAATGCTCATGGTGAAATTCCTGTGCCTACTCTTTGTTCTCTTCTGATTAAATACTCCTGTACACATAGAGACATTTTACACATATACCAAATTTGCACACTACTATTAGGTCCCCAAAACCCAGCAGTGGGTGTATACTTCTGCACATAATCCTATTTCCTATTAGAGTCTGAATCTGAAGACTGAAAATTTGTTTCCTTTAACCCTATCATAGACACTTCATAAGGAAGAAAAAGACACCAGATTTTTAGAGACTTTGATGCGAAACTGAAGTAATAAAGATATTATTTTTATATTTTCCATCATTTTTTCTCTTAGAAGGTGACATCTGTGTGGGACTGGGCTTGGCTGGCCCAGCAAACACTTTTAGGGTTTCTTTTTGGATAGCTGATGAAACAAAGTTCCTATTGTTTCATCCTCAAAAGAGAGGGCCCAGATGGGATGCATTCCACTTTTAGCTTAATAGGAAATGAAGTAATTCTTGGGCTGTGCTTCAGCAGTTTTGTTTATCAGTAGCAATATTTCGTTTCCATGGGTGCGGTGCTCCATATAGTGAGAAGGAGCCTGCAGGAGAGCTCTCCCAACCTCGCACACACACACCTCCTGACCTGCCAGCATAAAAAAGGTGCAGATTAGGTGATTTTAAGAGGGTCATCAGTAGTTAAGTTTTTGTTTCTCACCTAGGTGCTCCTTGTGTTTTTGTTTATTCTTTCCCTCCTCACTTAATTTTTTTAGTTCTATAGTGCCAATGGCAAGCTTTGTTGGGCCATGCTGGAGAAGCTCTTTGTAGAGTATTAGGGATCTGTTTTCCTTGAGTTTCCTAAACAGAAGCATTTTAATAGCTAATAATAAAAACTACCAGTTTTAGTTGCCCATTTTATGCCAGATACTTTGTGCACAGCTCTAATGTTTTTAACAATCCGTAAGGTTGATGGTGTTCTCATTTTGTGTACAAGGAAAACAGGCTTCAAGGTTGAATGACTTTCTCAGGATAACCAAATCTGTTGCAGTGGAGCTGGAGTTCAAACCTAATATTTTCTACTTGACAGCTAATTGCCAGCATACTTGATGAGGATCCCTACAGTTTACTCAGCTGGGAGCAGACTTCTCCCACCCCATAATTTATATTTGTCTTGTAAGTGGACTTGATAGTGTGAGAAGTTCAGAAATTAATTCCTAATTTAAAATACGGAATTAAAGTTTGGGCTGTGTTTCTTCCAATAGTTTCTCTCTCTCCTTCCCCTCTCTAAATCCTCTAGAGTAGCTGCCTTCATAAGTTCAGTAAAATTTTCAGAACTTCCCTTTTTAAAAAAAGATTGGGATTTTTATTTTCCTTTCTTGTTACCAGGAAATTTAATCAAAGGAAAAACACCATGGAACTAACTGAAAATCCTGCTATTGTTCTTCCTACTGCAGCTTCTGTTTTTATGCAGAAAGTTAGATTGTGGTTATTATATCAAATTGGATACAGTTTCTCATCCCCATGTCTTTGCAGTGTAATTGTAGACATTGTTAATAACCCTGCAGTTGGCCAGGCACGGTGTAAGGTGTAATCCCAGCATTTTGGGAGGCCTAGGCGGGCGGATTACGAGGTCAGGAGGTCGAGACCATCCTGGCTAATGCAATGAAACCCCATCTCTACAAGAATACAAAAAAATTAGCGGGGCATGGTGGCGGGTGCCTGTAGTCCCAGCTACTCAGGAGGCTGAGGCAGAAGAATGGTGTGAACCCGGGACGCAGAGCTTGCAGTGAGCCGAGATCGTGCCACTGCACTCCAGCCTGGGAGACAGAGCGAGACTCCGTCTCAAAATAAATAAATAAATAAAATAACCCTGCAGTCTTTATGTACAAAGGTAGTCATATGACTAATGACCCTGTTGCAAATAGTCATGTCTCTAGCGCTAATTTATGATAGTAAGAGGTTTGGTGTAGGCATACGCGGTGTAAAATTATTGAGTCTGTATTATGTAACTTTTTAAAAAATGCTGATTTACCCCCCAGGTGCTTTATCAGAAAGGTTATAGGAATTAAAAAATAATCTTGAGAGCCACTTGAACCTAATGGAAAACATTAATGTGAGAGAGTAGGCCTGCCAAACTGGTGTGGTTGATTTCCGGACAGTAGGGTGAGGTACTTTATTCTTGATCAGTAGTAACGCTTCCAATGTACTCTTAAGTTTAATAAAGACTAATCCAGGAAACCCTGAGTTCCCCACTCATCTTTTAACCCTCAGGTTTTCTTTTGAAAAAGAAGCCTCTAATCGTACCAAACAAATTCCAGATTTATGGCATATTTTACTTATGATGATTCATAGTTTCTTCTTCAGATTTTGAATTCGTGTCTGAAGGGAAAATATTGGATTAACAATTGGACAGTTTCTCAGGTATCTCTTTCATGGCTATTTCTGACATTCTGCCTTCTCGGTTATACAGTTTGATTTTAGTTATACACAGAGCTGACAGTAGCTCACACATCCATCCATTCACCTGCTAACAAACTCTGCTAATGCAGCAGAAAGAGATAAGCATACTGTTGTTGCCAAGCACAACCCCCGCGCCCCAACACACACCCATCCCGCGTTGTTCTGTTTCTCTCCCTGTCGTTCGCCCTCATCCCATTCTGCCTGAGTAAACAGTCATTTTAGCAATTCGGGACAAATTTCTGTGCTGATACTTACTTTGGCACTTCACAGTTTTGGGTAAGGTAGCATTGCTTCACCATGGCTCTTTGCTGTGTGAATGGTGTTTACTTTTAGTGGTATTGTGACTCCCTTTCTGATTCAAGGGTTCAGGTTTCTCATCTTTGCATAGGCCTGAGGAAGGAGATCAATAAGAAAGGAAAAGGACTGGTTAAATGGATAGGGCTGTGGATATTCTGTTTTACATAGTGTAATCTCTCTTCTAAGGCACTGTAAATTTAAGGTTTGAAGGCATAATTCAATTTGGATCTCAGATTACTTGCATCATCATCATCATTGAATTGTGAAATTTTGACATTTATTGACATTTATTCATATCTACCTCAAAGGACTTTCAGAAGTTTACAGATTAGCTTAATTTTGGATAAATGGGACAATGCTATATATTGATTCTGTTGACGAACCACAGCATTTCTTCTTTAAAGCAGTTCTCCTGACTGACATACGTATCACTCCATCCATCCATCGTTCATCATCCATCCACCATCAGTTTATTTGGAAATTAAGTGAGGCTATATATGGTGTTTTGGGTGATAATAATAAAGAATTTAGGAGGCCCCTTCTAGATTTTATTTATTTATTTAGAGACAGGGTCTCTGTCTCCCAGGCTAGAGTCCAGTGGCATGATCTTGGCTCATGGCAACCTCTGCCTCCCAGGTTCAAGTGATTCTCCTGCCTCAGCCTCCCTAGTAGCTGGGACTACAGATGCCCGGCTAATTTTTATTTTTAGTACAGACAGAGTCTTGCCATGTTCGCCAGGCTGGTCTCGAACTCCTGGCCTCAAGTGATCTGCCTGCCTCGGCCTCCCAAAGTGCTGGGATTACAGCATGAGTCATCGCGCCTGGCCTAAGTCCTTCTTAATTGCCATCTCCTTTGTGAAATCTTCCTGCTTTTGCCCACATATGGAATGCACCACTCCTCTCCCCAGATTGCACTGTATTTAGATATTTAGGTATTTTAGATAGGAAAGTTCTTGTAGAACTCCTCTCATTTTGACTTCATTGCAGTTATCTGCAACTTGATTCTCTGTTATGAACCGTAAATCTCTGGGGAGTTGAGACTCCTTACTTTACTCATCTTCACCTTCTGATCATAGTGCCTGGACTTGATGGATGTCTAGCTTTTAGCTCTTGAACAAAACTGAGTCAGATGTTAGAGAATATTTTAAAAGAAACATTTTCTGCTAGAAAAATAGACAAATCTTACTAACTGAATCATTTGGCTTGTTTCTGCTAACATTGATGTCTGTGTAGTTAGGCTGGCTGCCCTTCAAAGAAATATTGCTTTTTTCCCCTAATTCTCTTTCATATATTAAATGCATAAATACCGCATATACATTATTATAAAGTGTGCATGCATGTGCACGTGCTCGCACTTGCACACACACACCAGGCAGCGGATGCTTCAGCTTGCTACAGCCTTCTTAGAAAGAATTCGACTTGGAAGGCAGTGGGAGTATCGTGTGGATTCAGTGTTCATGTGAAGACTTATCTTCATGGTTCATGAACCAATTATTCTTGCTTAAAAGTTAAACTAGCCCATCATTCCAAGTGTTAGGCTCCTCTTAGGCAGGGACTTAGCTCTTAGCCTTCTTCCTCTTCAAACACATTGCCCTGTTTATAGGCAATGTGATACAAAACCCTTGCATCCTGATATAATAGACCATGTCCTTTGGCATCAGCCTCGACTCTGAATAATGAATTCTGCACCTTAATATCTGTGTAACATGGGGCAAGTTACTTCTTTAAGTCTCAGTTTCTCATCTATAAATTGAGAACAATACATGCCTCATAAAATTGTTGTGGAGAGATGACTGTCAGATGCCTGGCGTGTGCTAGGTACTTGCTTGGTAAATGTTTCCTACCACCCTAAAAT